>NC_000005.10:179522465-179672911 GCF_000001405.40 Homo sapiens
AACTTGTCCCAGAGGGGATGCCCAGGGCTCAGCTGCCTGAGGACAGCAGTGCAGTTGACATGGATATTCTCTTTCCTCTGCACAGTGTTATTGAGACAGAGCTGTGCCCCAGCCCCATTCCCCAGATCATCCATTTCGTCCTCTTCATTGTGTTCAGCCTGGTGATCCTGATCATCTTATGCCCCTACATTCCCAGGGAGCCATCCTCAGTGCCTCCCAGAGAGGAGGACAGCGAGAATGTAAGGAGCCCTCAGCCCACACCCAGCAGAGAATGCTTCTATTTTTCCTGCTCTCTTTTCCACTTTTCCACATCAACCAGAGGCGCTCCTGTGATGGGAACTCTCATCATCCCTCTAGGGACAGCAGGGCAGGCAGGGGTTGGAGTGGGCATAGGATTTCCAACCCAAGCCCCCAGACCATCTGTGGAGGTGCACGGGAGGCGTCAGAGCAAAACCAAACCCCAGGACTCAGCGGCGAGGACCCGGTCATGAGAGGGGTGAGGTCTCTGTGGAAGGACAGGCCCTGAGCCCGGGCTCATCAGCCGCCTTCCTGGGCAGGTGCCTCGGGGCCCAGCCTCTGTGTGAGGTGCTCTGGGGGCTGTGCTGAGCCCCTGAGAGCCTCCCACCTGAGACTGGAGTCGCCCCTGGCCTCCTCGGAAGCAGAATCCTCCCTGCCAGCTCAGAGGCACCTGCAGACCCAAGAGTGTGTGTTTCCCAAGCAGCGGAACAGGGACTGAGGATACCCAGGGCAGGCCTCACATAGAAAACCCCTCCATGCTTTCCAGAGAAGGAAACCAGAAAAAGGTTATTACGCACTTTAGAAACCAGTGAAAGAGAAGCACACAGGCTCCATGAGCTGGGCGGAGAAAGTGTGTCATTCACGAGCACTGGGTCTGCAGCTGTGGGGACAGGAGACTGAGACCCGGCCTGCACCCTCTTTCTTGTCTCTCAGGATCAAGCTGAAGTGGGGGAATGGCTCAGGATCGGAAATAAATATATCACTTTGAAAGGTAAGGCTCTGAGGGTCCCAGAAGCCCCCAGAGGTGACAGCTTCACCTGATCCTAGGAACATGCTGCTTGTCTCCAAGGAATTCATTTTCAGAGGCCTGAAGGGAACCTCCTAGGAGAGAAATTGGAACCCGGGATCCCTCTCCATGGGATGAAGCCATGGGGTCCAGGAAGCAGGTGTTGCCCAGGAGGGGACCGTGTGGGGGAGGGGACCAGTGACCACCTGGACATGCAGGAGGGGCTGCAGGTCCATGTGGGCAGCTGTTTAACATGGCTGAGCCCTCTCTGAGGCCACCCTGTCCTCTCTCCCCAGGAGGTGGTCGTGACCCCCATGATGGGGAGTGTCAGGAGGCACTCTATAAATGAGAAAACGCTGCCCACCGGGCATCTGGCTATCACTCCTGGGGCCCTGTGGCCTTGGACAGGGATGCTGGGGCTCCAGGGTCTAATCCCCGATCCCGGGGTCTCCCCTAAGGGCACACGCACTCGGCCTCCTGTAAGTCCCAGTTCCCTCCCTCGCCACCATAACCCATCTCCTGCTTTCCAGACTGCAGAATTCTCTTGAAAGAATTGGAGAACCTTGAGGTCTACACTTTCCTGCTGGAAAAGTGAGGCTCTTCCCCTTCTCTCCCATGTCCTCCTTCCTACCAGGACCTAGGATGCCACCCCAGGGCCTGGGGCTGATCTGGGAGGGGAGATCACGGCCGTTATGTCACTAAAGCCCTGGGCAGGGGTAGGCAGAGCTTTGTGAAGTCAGCAGGGGGGCCCTGGAGGTCCACAGGTGCCCAGTGCTCCCGGCTGCAGCCTGTGCCTCCTGTCTCCTGCAGGCGCCTGAAGAAGCTCTCTAGGGAGGGCAGCTCCCATCACCTTCCACGCCAAGTCCGCCCAGGGCCAGTGTACAAACCAGCACCTGCTAGGAACCACCGGCCACGTGGGGGGCGTGGGAAAGCTTCTCCCACCAGCTTCCATGTGTCCCCACGGGCTCCCCCGGCTCCTCTGGCCTCCATGCCGTCATCAGTCCCGAAGACCTCCATAGAGTCCCTTGGGTCTCCATCATCCCTGAGCTCCTCCCAGGCATCAGAGCCTCTGTGTCCCCTGAAGCACCCTTCACACCGGCCACCTGCGAGCACCCTATCACCAAACCCGACCAGCTCCACAGAATCCTTGGGGTATCTGTCATCCCTCAGCTCCTCCCAGCCACCAGAGCCTTTGCGTCCCCTGAAGCACCCTTCACACAAGCCACATGGGCGTTCCCCTCCCCGACGACGGAATCCTGGCTGGGTGTCCTGGTCCGACTCCATGCAGGCTGATTCCGAAACTGACGCCATAATATGCCCAATGTGCAAGGCCCCTGAGCGCTCCTGTCCACACACCTGGTGGGTGCCTTCTAGCCCTCGAGTGATCCGAGGCGTTGGTCGCTGCAGTGATCCCAACCTGGGCCTCTCCTGGAGGCAGGAGGCTGCTAGAGCCTGGTGCCACTGCACCTCCTCACAGTACCCATTCGAGCACCCTAATCTTCCCACCCACCTACCAAAGGCTTCCTTCTAGGGAGACCCCACATGCAGGCAGATGGAGGCAGGGCTCACACTGGCCTCCAGGGCTGTGCAACTGGCATATTATTTTGCACATAACTTGGCTCAGGTTTGTGAGGTCTGATTTTTAAAATGAAGCAACAATCACATAAAGATTTTCAAACAAATAAGTCAAATGTATGGCAGTATTTCTATTTTATCCTATGGCAAAATAATTCTTCCTAATTTTAATATTATTTTGTTCCTTAAAATTTAATACCTTCAAATGATATTACCTATGTTTCCAGGATTTGACAAAGTCTTAATGTTCAGCCAACATGGCTTAAGCTGATGAACTACTTAAAAGGATTCTTTTCTTTTTTTTTTTTTTTTTTTGAGACAGAGTCTCGCTCTGTCACCCAGGCCGGAGTGCAGTGGTGTGATCTCGGCTCACTGCAACCTCCACCTCCTGGGTTCAAGCGATTCTCCTGCCTCAGCCTCCCGAGTAGCTGGGATTACAGACATGCACCACCACAGCTGGCTAATTTTTGTATTTTTAGTAGAGACGGGGTTTCACCATGTTGGCCAGGCTGGTCTCGAACTCCTGGCCTCAGGTGATCCACTCCCCTTGGTCTCCCAAACTGCTGGGATTAGAGGCGTGAGCCACCAAGTCCAGCCGGAGGATTCATTGTTTAAATAATTCTAAGAAATGCACATTTTCCAAGACTCAGGAGGTCAGGCTTCATTTTATATTCAGTAAAGGGTTTAAAAAGGATGTGATGCTCCAAATAAACTGAAATCTTACACAGCTTCTCACGGAATGTGTGCCTGAGACAGACGCACAGCCATCCCAACTACTGGGAAGAGGCGTCTTATCATCCGAATTGAAGAAAGTGTCCATTTAGTCAACATGTGTATTAGAATAATGAAAGGCCTCACTACTTATATGCCCAGCACTTTCTAAAGGGTGCACTTTGGTTAGACTGTGTATTTCTTACTGCTCATAAGTAACACATTGTCGTTGGCTTGTTAAAGTCTGCTTTAATATCATCTGTCAAGTATGTGTCACTGGTGAAGTCTCTCAGATTATCCCTCAGGGTGAAAGCATCACACTCCTTTCTTCAAAAGGAGCAAAGTCGACACGAGGGCCCTTGCAGCCAATTTGTTCCAACAAGAACTTCCCTCCTATTCCTTATAATTACAAATTTATACCTATTATATTTTCTATTTTACTCCCTTCAATGTCATTGAATCTCAAAATGATGAAACACGGTCATGAGTGTCCTCTAGTACACCACTGGCTTGTATTCTTTTTATAGTGTGCCAGATGTTTAATCATCAGAAAAACGGACCAATTAGGAAAGATTTCCATATAGAAAATACATTACAGAGTACTGCACCCTTTTTAAACTGACTTTTTATACAGGTTTAAACTAAATGATCATGTCTTTTGACTTAAAGTTGTTTGGGGTAGCCACAATGTCTGAAAACAGACTACTGTCCATAATAAATAGTTTATTGTTATGACATGTTTAATGTGCTGCCCCTCACTAGGAATTCTTAGTTCAACAGGTTGTGCAAAACCGCAATGCATGGTGTGCCTTAAAGCAACGTTCCCATCATCTGCTGCACCTGCGTCCACCATACATTGCTGCAGATGATTTATGTGTCCAACTTCCCGGGTGTAAACTTATGCCTTTACCCCAGAAGAATAAGTGGGTTCAATCTATTAGAAAAATACTGTCAATATTTCCAGACTTCTTTATTTTTGGAGACAGGGTCTCACACCCAGGCTGGAGTGCAGTGGCACATCACGGCTCATTGTAGCCTTGAACTCCTGGGCTCAAACGATCCTCCTGCGTCAGTCTCCCGAGTAGCTGGGACCAACAGGTATGTGCCACCATGCCTGGCTAATTGCTTTTTTTTTTTTTTTTTTTTTTTTTTTTGGTGGAGATTGTGTTGCCTAGGCTGGTCTTGAACTCCTGGCCTCAAGTGATCCTCCCACCTCAGCCTCCCAGAGTGTGGGATTACAGGCATGAGCCACCATGTCTGGCCTTGGTTTTGAAATAGATATTTATTTAAAATAGGTTTCACACTGATTTCAATAAATCAGGCACTCCAGAACACAATGTATAGGGTGGCAATTATATGTTGACTTCTTAATACTCCAAGAGATAAAGATCTTTTCCAAATAAGCAAAAAAAGTAGTCATTGTGCAATATTAGCCTCTAAGAGCAATTTCCCTTTATAGACTACAATATTACTGACAGTTTCATGCACTTTTGCTTTATAAAGAACTCCACAGGAAGAAATTTCCCCAGTCTTTCCCGGTAGACACAGCTACATTTTCTGTCACACACAAACCATTGTCACAGTACAGCATGTCCAGATCCAAAGAATCAAGGGGTTTCACAATTGCTTCCCCAATGTATGCCATGAGGTTGGTCAGATTTGAAACCATTCCCGTGACAGGATCAATCTTTATAATTGTGCCCCTGCCGTATGGATGGTTTGCATTTCCCAAACAGGAGTGTCCTGGGTTACTCAGAGGTGTGCCATGGAGCCCTCCCTTGGCCGTTTTATAATAACCAGAACAGCCCATTTCCCCATGGACACACATTCCAAGCTCTCCACAGCCCAGTACCACCGTTATGCAAAGGATATGGATGGAACTCACATTCAGAAAGCTAGAAAATAAGGCTGTGCCAGGCACAGTAGATGAGCAATGAGAAGATGCCAATGTCTTTTCTAGAAGCATGAGTGATCCAGCTCTTTGGTTCTGAACATTTCTGTGCTTTAGCGTTTCTCTCCCTCATTCACAGTAAAGACATCTGCAGCTCTTCCCTCCTGAGATAAGAAACTGGAACAGCCACCACCTGCTCCCTGATGTTTTCACCATCTCTGCCACTTGTTACAACGACCACTTAGCCAGACATCTCGGCGCAGGGATCCCCCTTAAACTGCAGAAGCAAGACCAGCCCACCACCCTTTCTTTTTATTCCTGCCATAATTTGATGCTAGTAACACTCTGCCTACCTACTTCCAATGGTAACAAATATTTTGTAGAATATGCAAGTTTATTTTGTAGATTGTGGTCCCTGGAGTGAGAGAAACTCTCCACCTACCAGACCTGTGACTTAGGTAAGTCACTCTGTGTCTCCAAACTTAATTTCCTTGATGTGGAAAATGGGGATAGAAGTTAATAACATTGCAGGAAAGGGGACATGAGTTATAATATAAAACTCTCTGCATGGTTCCTATTGGATAATTTTGCTATTATTATTGCTTGTATTTTTGTCACATTATAACCAACTTAGTTTTACTTGTTAAAGTACACACAATTGGGTTTTTTTAAAAGAATTAATTTAATTTACTAGCACAAAAGCTAGTGTTAAAAATAGGTGTTAAAAATTGAGTCCCGGCAGGGCACCGTGGCTCACGCCTGCAATCCCAGCACTTCGGGAGGTCCAGGCTGGCAGATCACTTGAGGTCAGGAGTTTGAGACCAGCCTGGCCAACATGGTGAAACTCCATTTCTACTAAAAATATAAGAAATAGCCGGGCGTGGTGGCTCGTGCCTGTAGTCCCAGCTACTCAGGAGGCTGAGACAGGAAAATTGCTTGAACCGGGAGGCAGAGGGTGCAGTGAGCCAAGATGGCGCCACTGCACTCCAGCCTGGGCAACAGAGTGAGAATCTGTTTAAAAAAAAAAAAGAAAAAAAAAGTGAGTCCCATCTGATAAACCGAATATTTAAGTAAATTTGAAATATTTTTTGCCCCATGATATTTAGGGGTTTCTACTAATTGACTTTGATGTTCAAGGGCTGTTTTGTGATCCCAAAGCCATTGCCACTTTTACTTTGAACAAGCTGGACTCATGGGGTACTCCAGAGCCAACTCTGTTTTCTCCACGCAGCCTGCTCCTTGCTGCTGGTTCTGAGTCCCTGAATGAAATCTGGGATCTTCATGGCTTACCTACTTACATTCAGGAAAATAAAAAAAAAATCCTCCAGTCATCTCCAATAACAAGAAGAGGTCTGATTTCACTCATTAAACTATGCAGTGTGATGTCATAGCCAAATGGCCACACCGCATTGGAGAGCCAAGTTTTCTCTCCCAGAACAGCCTGCCTGGGCGCGGGCCACCATGCCCGGCTAATTTTTGTATTTTTAGTAGAGACAGGGTTTCACCATGCTGGCCAGCCTGGTCTCGAACTCCTGACCTCGCGATCCGCCAGCCTCGGCCTCCCAAAGTGCTGGGATTACAGGCGTGAGCCATTGTGCCGGGCCACTTTTCTTTCTTTCTTTTTTCTCTTTTTTTTTTTTTTTTGAGACAGAGTCTCGCTCTGTCGCCCAGGCTGGAGTGCAGTGGTGCCATCTCGGCTCACTGCAAGCTCCGCTTCTCAGGTTCACGCCATTCTCCTGCCTCAGCCTCCCGAGTAGCTGGGACTACAGGCGCCCGCCACCACACCCGGCTAATTTTTTGTATTTTTACTAGAGACGGGGTTTCGCCATGTTAGCCAGGATGGTCTCCATCTCCTGACCTCGTGATCCACCTGCCTGAGCCTCCCCAAAGTGCTGGGATTACAGGCGTGAGCCACCGCGCCCGGCCTCTTTTTTAAAGAAGGTTTTATTTTTGCAATAACATTACTAGCGCTATTGACAAGTATCAAATGCACACTGTATAACTACAGCAAACCCATCCACAACGTATTCGACTGTTCAGAGCCCTGAATGACATCTTGATAAAGAGCCAAAAGTTGTTTCCATAAAGATCTTCAAGGTGTTTGAGCACATCTTGTCAGACGCCCGTAAAGGAAGCTGACTCTCACTGGGTTCCAGGAATTACGTGGTTACGTCCATAACAGCCCATCTGACAAGTGGCAAATACCCGTGGAAAACCAATTAACTGTGCTCCTCGGTTTACCCTGGAGGATGGTGGCGGATGACGCGACTAAGTTTGCTTTGAGCCTGCTTCAAGTTCCAACTTCCTTGGAGTTAGTCGCATTTACAATTTAAAACATGCAAAAATCCACGCTTGTGTATGAAATTCGTGTTTCTTCAGAACATGAGGCTAAGACAACGTGGATATTATGGGATGATGGGCCGTTCACAGAGAAATCCCCGTCCCGGGCACACTCAGGCCTGGCGCCTGGCCTGCGGCTCACCTGGTGGGAGGAAAGGTTTCTCTGGGTGGTCCAAGGCGGCACAGGTGACCCAGGGCGAGGAGCCTCTGGGGGGCTCAGCGAACCCAGCGTCCACTCAAGCTCGTCCTGCCCCTGGCAATCCACGCGGTGCCGGGTGGATGCGTGGGAGCCACATCAAAGTCCCCCCACAAGTGCCTGGGGCTCCCCGCTGATTTCGAGGTCTACAGAATGGGTTTCTTGCAACTCACATCCTTCAGCTGGAGGACCCCAGAAAGGCAGAGCTCCCGTCCAGAGTGTGCTGGTCCCGGACGCAGACCTGCTCCCAAATGCCCTGGGGTCGGGCGTAAGGCCTGGGGATCGCCGGAGCCTGGTTTCCTCACTGCGGTGCTCACTGCCGCCGCCTCTTCCCCGGACGCCCGGTCTGTCTGAGGTCGCCGGGTCTGTGGACGCGGATCCGAATCGGAGCTTCCGAGGGTGATCTGAGATCCAAAGTCAGGAGTCTTCTGCATCCTGCCCTTTGTCAGCGCTGGTCCTCATTTCACCTGCCCAGGGCCTTCAGGAGGGGCGACACTCTCCGGCTGCGGGCGGCCCAGCGCTCGCCCCCCTCGGCCCCACGTACTCTTCCTGCCTCGCCCCCATCGCCCTCCTCCGGCTTCCCGCGCCTCCCGGGGCTCTGCGCTTGCGTCCAGGGCGCCCTCTCCGGGGACAATGGGCGGGTGCTTCGCAGGCTGCAGTCAGGGCCGACTTCACCCGGCGAGGACAGGGCGAGGCGCTGGGCCCAGAGGTATGTTTGAAACGATTCGCGTATGTGAATCTACTTTTTGAATTGTAAATTTTATGAAACCTAAATACAAATCATGTACTTCTTATGAAAATTTCGTGTCTGAATTAAGAAGTGCTATCAATATAAAAGAACAGATTTCGAAAACTTAGTACAAAAATAGAAGGTGAAATATTTCATTCATGTTTATGTTGATAACATGTTCAAATGACACTACTTTGGACGTATTGAATTAAATATATTATTAAAACTCATTGCACATATTTCTTTTTACTTTTCTAAGTGGCTACTACAAACATTAAGTCACATGTGTTCTTGCATTATATTTCTACTGGACAGTGTGCTGTACAAGAAAATAGAAAAAGTATAAAAATTATCCAGTTCATTTTATGAAACTAGAATTTTTAATTCTCAAATCAGATAAGGTTAACATAAAAATAAAATTATAAAACCATTTTTTACTTATGATCACTGATATAAAACAAAATATAGCTAACAGAATCAAATAGTATATATATAAATTTATCATATTGTATTTAAGATCTTTATTTTTCTAACATTCTTGGTCCTATGAAAACATTTCAGTATACAACATCAGAGAAAAACCATCATAATCTATATGCCAGTCATCACAATCGACATGGTATAATTTTTAAAAATAAACTATCTTGCCCTGTAGATGTATATATACAGCAGTCCCTCTGTATCCACAGGGGATTCGTTCCAGGACCCTCCCCCCAAAATCCACAATGCTCAAGTCCCTTATATAAAGTAGCATTGTACTGTCAGTCCCCAATTTATGATGGCTTCAATTGGGATTTGACTTGCCAATGGTGCAAAAGCAATGGGCATTCAGAACGCTTCTCATCTTACAATAGGGTTACATCTGGATAAACCCATTGTAAATTCAACTCGCCATATGGTCAATCTATACGATGGATGTATTTGGTTGTAACCCCATCATAAGTCAAGGAGCATCTGTATTTGCGTATAACCTATAACCTATGCACATCCTCTGTCCCAGGTTAATTATTTAGAGGTATAATTTAAATCACCTCTAAATTTTATTTTATTTTATTTTATTTTTGAGATGGAGTCTTGCTCTGTCGCCCAGGCTGGAGTGCAGTGGTGTGATCTCGGCTCACTGCAAGCTCTGCCTCCCGGCTTCACGCCATTCTCCTGCCTCAGCCTCCCGAGTAGCTGGGACTACAGGCGCCTGTAACCACACCCAGCTAATTTTTTGTATTTTTAGTGGAGACGGGGTTTCACTGTGTTAGCCAGGATGGTCTCGATCTCCTGACCTCGTGATCTGCCCGTCTCGGCCTCCCGAAGTGCTGGGGTTACAGGCGTGAACCACCATGCCCGGCCCAATCACCTCTAAATTATTTACACTACTAGTTAATACAATGTAAATGCTATGTAAATAGCTGTTGGGGCCAAGCATGGTGGCTCACTCCTGTAATCCCAACACTTTGGGAGGCTGAGGCAGGAGGATTACTTGAGCCCAGGAGTTCGAGACCAGCCTGTGGTCCCAGCTACTCAGGAGGCTGAAGTGGGAGGCTCACTTGAGCTCAGGAAGTTGTGGCTGCAGTGAGCTGTGATGGTACCACTGCACTCAAGCCTAGGCAACAAAGCAAGACTGTCTCAAAAAAAAAGTTGTTGTATTGATTTTTTTATTTATATTATTTTTTCTTGTTTTTTTTTTATTGCTTTTGTTTTTCAAATACTTTTGATCCACGGTTGATTGAAACCACAGATGTAAAACCCCAGGATACGAGGGGCCAACTGCATATAAAATCAAGTAAAACTTAGCTTAGGAATATAAGAATTTTTCTTTTTTATAGTATGTGTGTATATATATGTATATATGTGTGTCTATATAGGTATACATGTGTGTGTATATGTATATATACACACATATATATATATATATATTTTTTTTTTTTTTTAAATAGGGATGAGGTCTCACTATGTTGCCCAGGCTGGTCTCAAACTCCTGAGCTCAAGCGATCCTCCTGCTTCAGACTCCCGGAGTCCTGGGAAGAATTTTTCAACATCAAAAAATCTATTAACATGAGCTACCACAGTAAAAAGAAAAAAAACATATAATTATCTCAGTCTATTCAGAAAGAAATTTGATAAGATTTAAAGCCTACTTATGATTTTTTCCCTCTTAACTAATTAAGACTGGAAGAAACTTTCTCAACTAGTAAATTTCATATACCAAAAGCTTACATCAAAATTTTACTTGAGGAAGAAAATTGCAAAGATCCTTAATTAATTAATCCTTTAAGTCAGGATTAATTAACACAAAAATACTCAGTAATCCCCTGTGGTTTAACACAGAACTGCATTCTCCTGGTCAATGCCCTAAGGAAAGAAAAAGAAAGAAAAGATGTAAGGATTGGAAGATGAGAGAAAATTGTCATAATTCGAAGATGATATCACCGTCTACCTAGAAAGAAACCGCCGGCTGGGCGCGGTGGCTCAGGCCTCTAATCCCAGCACTTTGGGAGGAAGAGGCAGGTGGATCACTCAAGGTCAGAAGTTTGACATCAGCCTGGCCAACATAGTGAAACCCACTCTCTCGCTACGAAAAATACAAAAATTAGCTGGGCGTGGTGGTGCATGCCTGTAATCTCAGCTATTCAGGAGGCAAGGCAGGAGAATCACTTGAACCTGGGAGGCGGAGGTTGCAGTGAGCTGAGATCATTCCACTACACTCCAACCTGGGGGACAGAGTGAGACTCCCTCTCAAAAAAGAAAAAGAAAAAAGAAAAAAAGGAAACCAGCTGGGTGTGGTGGCTCATGCCTGTAATCCCATCACTTTGGGAGGCCGAGGTGGGCAGATTACTTGATGTCAGAAGTTCGAAACCAGCCTGGCCACATGGTGAAACCCCGTCTCTACTAAAAATATTGTAAAAATTAGCTGGGCATGGCGGCAGGCACCTGTAATCCCAGCTACTCAGGAGGCTGAGGCAGGAGAATCACTTAAACCTGGGAGGTGGAGGTTGCAGTGAGCCGAGATCATGTCCAGCCTGGGTGACGAAACGAGACTCTGTCTAAAAAAATTAATGAATTAATTAAAATAAAATAGTCAAACTCACAGAAGCAGAGAGTACAATGGTAGTTTCCAGGGGCTGAGGGGAGGAGGAAGTGGGGAGTTGCTGTTCAATGGGTTGAAAGTTTCAGCCCATTGATGAACGTGTTATCTGCTGCACAACGTCATGCCTGTTCATAATACTGCACTGCCCACTTAATTTGTGAAGAGGGTAGATCCCATGTTAAATGTTCTTACCACAAATTAAAAACAAAAAGAATCAGCCAATTAGAAATCCTTAATTTTAGTAATTTTTTATTTGAGGTAAGTTATCTTCTGAGGTTTTAAAGTAAAGAAATAGGCCAGGTCCAGTGGCTCACACCTGTAATCCCAGCACTGTGGGAGGCCTGGGTGGGCAGATAGCTTGAGCTCAGGAGTTCAAGACCAGCCTGGGCCACATGGTGAAACCCCATCTCTGCAAAAAATACAAAAATTAGCCGAGCGTGGTGGTGGGCGCCTGTGGTCCTAGCTACTTAGAAGGCTGAGGCGGGAGGATCGCTCGAGCCCAGGAGGCAGGAGTTGCAGTAAGCCAAGATCATGCATGCCACCGCCGAGGAGACAGAGCAAGACCCTATCTCAAAAAACAACAACGAAAACAAAAAAAAACCCTTACACAATGTTGACTCTAGATTGGTGCAACTCACCGTATGCTAAAGTGAAAGTGTAAAAGGACAGATGGAGGAAAGGAAGCATGGGTAAATAAGGAGGCGTGTGATAACGCAGTACAGCAAAGTGTTTACTCTAA
This sequence comes from Homo sapiens, assembly GCF_000001405.40. NCBI lineage: Eukaryota > Metazoa > Chordata > Mammalia > Primates > Hominidae > Homo > Homo sapiens. The sequence goes on from NC_000005.10 coordinate 179,534,754, forward strand.
AACCTAGGTGATTGTAAGAGTGTTCATTCTGCAATTCTTTCAACTTTTCTATATGATTTTCTGGACAAAATGTTAGAGGGAAACACCAAAAACAAAACTATTTGTCATATAAGTCTATGTCTGTAAGTAAATGTGAAGGAAACTGTCTATATGGATACCCAAAAAGGGAAGGGAAGGAATTGGGCAGGTGGGGGGCGGAGGGGGTAAGGAAGTTTGGAGAACAGAAACTTGCACTTTTGCTTTTCCATGTTTTGATTTTTTGCAATGAGAATATACTCATGTAGTCCTGTGCTATTTTTTTATGTAAAAAGCTCAGCATGTGAGAGTCCCCACAAGCTCATGAGGTAGCATCACTCTTGTGCAGAAGAGGAATCCTAGAGCCAGACAGTTACAGGGGTCCACCAAGGTTACCTAGAGTCAGGAACGACAGGGAGGACAGGAACGAGAGTCTGGTCTGTGCTCCTCCGGGTAAATAGGCTTTGGTAGAAAGGTCTGGGGCCTCCTCTCCCTGCCTTGCCCAGCCCTTCCTCCTACCTTGGGCTGACGTACACCAGCATCCCTTCATGGTTGTCTGTGGGGCAGGAGACACACATAGCTGCACTCCTGGGGTACTCCCAGGCCTGAGCATCCACCTGGATGTCCACATTGGATGTGTCCTCTGCCCCCCAACTCACCCATGCCCAGCTCAGCAAGCCCAGTGGATACTTCATTCTCCTCCCGTAGCCCATGTCCAACCAACAACCACAGCCTCCCCATCGCCCTTCTCCAGCATCTGTGGTCTTAGACTCCCTTGTGAAATCCCCACTGCTTCTGCCTCAGTTCAGTCCTCATCTCTCACCCGGATGACTGTGGATAGTTTCCCAACCACCACCATGCCTGGCTAATTTTTGTATTTTTAGTAGAGACGGGGTTTCACCATGTTGTCTAGGCTGGTCTCGAACTCCTGACCTCAAATGGTCCGCCCACCTTGGCCTCACAAAGTGCTGGGATGACAGGCACGAGCCACCTCACCTGGCCTACACCGGCATCAATTTTGAAGAACTCATGATGTTGTTCACTGAGAAGTAGATGAACTTCCAACTCTGTGCAGAGCGGAGCTTCTGGACTAGTGTGGCCATCGGGCTATTAGCTGTGCAGAGATATTATGCCCTTGGCCCAGAGATGAGCAGGTAAAATTCGGGGGAACCAGACTTCCCGAGGGTTACCTCTGCAGCAAGCAGGCTCGTCCATTTACAACGCTGTGTTATACAACAAACAGTGTCCCAGGTCCCGAGGGTTACCTCTGCAGCAAGCAGGCTCGTCCATTTACAACGCTGTGTTATACAACAAACAGTGTCCCAGGTCCCGAGGGTTACCTCTGCAGCAAGCAGGCTCGTCCATTTACAACGCTGTGTTATACAACAAATAGTATCATGTCCCAGGGGGATCATAATGTGAAAAAGATTAAGAGGCACAGCTTTAGAGAGTGAGAATTTCTGGTCCTAATAAAGGAATGAAAAGACCATAAAGTTTGAGAATATTGGCTCAAGAAACGATTAGGAAGAACCACCTACCCTAGAAAAGTGAAGATTTTAAAAAAAAAAAAATCAAAGATGATCTCTATCACTTTGCCACCTGTTTGACGTGCAGTGGAAACTGGTTAAGCCAGTTGTTTATACTTCGTTTACAAATATAAAGATAGCTGTTTAGGATATTTTGTTAAATTTTTGAAATGCTAGTAATGTGTTTTCACCAGCAGGTATTTGTTGCAAACTTAATGTCATTTTCCTTAAGATGGTTACAGCTATGTAACCTGTAGTATTCTGGACAGACTTGTTAAAAAACAGACAAAAAGAAAAATAAAACAAAACTTGAGTTCTGTTTATCTTGCACATTTTTTGTTGTTACAGTGAAAACAAAAATGGTCCAAGAAAATGTTTCCCATTTTTTTATTTTTTAGTTCTTAGCTGGAACATTTAGAAAGAAGGAAATTAATGTGCATTTTATTAATTCCTAGGGGCACAAGGAGGACAATAATAGCTGATCTTTTGAAATTTGAAAAACGTCTTTAGATGACCGAGCAAAAAGATTTTTAAAAATGGTAATGAAAATGGAATGCAGCTACTGCAGCTCATAAAAATTTTAGATAGCAATTCCTACAACCGTATGCTTTTATAGCTAGACAGGAGAATTACGATAGCATGAGTTGATTCATTTTATTACTTTTCTTCCCTTTCTCATACTTTTATAAATAGGTGATAAAAAATGTTTTGCCTGCCAATTGAATGATTTCGTAGATGAAGTAGAAATATTTAGGTTTCCGTAGCATTAAATTGTGAAGACAACTGGAGTGGCACTTAGTGAAGAAACTCTCTGTATGTCCTAGAATAAGAAGCAATGATGTGCTGCTTCTCATTTTTCTCGCATTTTAAATTATCAGCCAACCTACAGCCATTATCTTTTTTTTTTTTTTTTGAGACGGAGTCTCGCTCTGTTGCCCAGGCTGGAGTGCAGTGGCGCGATCTCGGCTCACTGCAAGCTCTGCCTCCCGGGTTCACGCCATTCTCCTGCCTCAGCCTCCCGATTAGCTGGGACTACAGGCGCCCGCCACCACGCCCAGCTAATTTTTTGTATTTTTAGTAGAGACGGGGTTTCACCATGTTAGCCAGGATGGTCTCGATCTCCTGACTTCGTGATCCACCCGCCTCGGCCTCCCAAAGTGCTGGGATTACAGGCGTGAGCCACCGCGCCTCGCCTACAGCCATCATCTTTAGCACGGTGATATCACCATGACTTCATAGACATGCTCTAGAATCTGTACCTTTACCCAAATATGAAGAATAAAATTGATTAAAGGTTTAAAAAAAAATAGGCTGGGGGTGATGGCTCACACCTGTAATCCCAGCACTTTGGGAGGCTGAGGTGGGTGGATTGCTTGAGTTCAGGAGTTCAATACCAGCCTGGTCAACATGGTGAAACCCCGTCTCTACTAAAAATATGAAAAAAATTAACCAGGCGTGGTGGCGCATGCCTGTAATCCCAGCTACTCAGGAGACTGAGGTGGGAGGATTGCTCGAACCCGGGAGGTAAAGGTTGCAGTGAGCCGAGAACTGCACTCCAGCCTGGATGACAGAGTGAGGCTCCATCTCTAAATAAATATTTAAATTAAATAGCCACTCATGATGGTTCATGCCTGTAGCCCCAGCTACTCAGGTGGCTGAAGTGGGAGGATCACTTGAGCTCAGAAGTTTGAGGCTGCAAGGAACCATGACTGCACCACTGCACTCCAGCCTGGGTGACAGTGCAGTGACGCGATCTCCGTTCAGCAACCTCTGCCTCCCGGGTTCAAGCAATTCTCCTGCCTCAGCCTCCCAAGTAGCTGGGACTACAGGCACCCACCACCACACCTGACTAATTTTGTTTTTGTATTTTTAGTAGAAACGGCGTTTCACCCTGTTAGCCAGGATGGTCTCGATCTCCTGACCTCGTGATCTACCTGCCTCGGCCTCCCAAAGTGCTGGGATTACAGGTGTGAGCCACCGTGCCCAGACAATATAATCATTTTTTTAAATTAAGAATTGAATAAAATGCAAGATTACATTAAAAGTATGTATCAATGTTTAATGTACTGAAGGTGAGACTTTATCACGGTTACATAAGAGAATATCCCAGTTCTCGAAAAATAGGTCCTGCTGTTGGTAGGAATGTAAATTAGTACAGCCATTATAGAAAACAGTATGGAAGTTCCTCAAGAAATTAAAAATAGAACTACCCACGTGATCCAGCAATTCCACTTCTAGGTATATACCCGAAGGAAATGAAATCAGTATGTTGAAGATCTATCTGCACTCCTATGTTCATTGCAGCGTTATTCACAGTAGCTAAGATATTGAAAAAACCTAAGCGGATTTATGGATAAAGAAAATGTGTTGTGTGTAAATGTGAAGGAAGGCAGGCGAGGTGGCTCGTGCCTGTAGTCCCAGCTACTTGGAAGGGAGAGTCAAAGGATTGCTTGAGGCCAAGAGTTCCAGCCTGGGTAATACAGTAAGATTCCATCTCTTTTTTAAAAAGGAATGCAAGTCAGCCCTTAAAAAGAAGGAAATCCAATAGGCGCAGTGGCTGATGCTTGTAATTCCAGCACTATGGGAGGCTGAGGCAGGTGGATCACCTGAACTCAGGAGTTTGAGACCAGCCTGGGCAACATGGAGAAACCCTGTCTCTACAAAAAATACAAAAATTACCTGGGTGTGGTAGCACACACCTGTAGTCCCAGCTACTTGGGTGGCTGGGATGGAAGAATCACTTGAACCCGGGGAAGCTGAGGAAAGACAGCGCCACTGCACTCCAGCCTGGGTGAGGGAGTAAGACCCAGCCTCAAAAAAAAAAAAAAAAAAAAGGAAATTCTGTCACTGTGACAACTTGGATAAACACGGAGGACATCATACTATGTAAAATAAACTAGGCACAGAGAAACAAATACTTAATGATCTCACATGTGGAATCTAAAACCTCAAACTTATAGAAAGACAGAGTAGAATGGCGGTTATCAGGGGAGGGCTGGGGAATGGGGGTAGGAAATGGGGAGATGATGATGAAAGGAACGGAGTTTCTGGAGAACTAATGTACATATAGCATGGTGACTATATGTAATAGTGTATTGTACACTTGAAAAGTGCTAAGAGAGGCCAGGCGTCGTGGCTCACACCTGTAATCCCAGCACTTTGGGAGGCCAAGGTCGGCAGATCGCTTGAGGTCAGGAGTTCGAGGCCAGCCTGGGCAACACGGTGAAACCCCATCTCTACTAAAAATACAAAAATTAGCCGGGTGTGGTGGTGCACACCTGTAGTCCTAGCTACTCAGGAGGCTGAGGCAGGAGAATCACTTGAACCCAGGAGGTGAAGGTTGCAGTGAGTCAAGATCGCACCACTGCACTCCAGTGTATGCAATAGAGCGAGACTCCATCTCAAAAACAACAAAAAAAGAAAATTGCTGGCCGGGTGCAGTGGCTCACACCTGTAATCCCAGCGCTTTGGGAGGCTGAGGCAGGCAGATCATGTGAGGTCAGGAGTTCAAGACCAGCCTGGCCAACATGGCGAAACCCCGTCTCTACTTATAATACAAAAATCAGCCAGGCATGTTGGCGGGCGCCTGTAATCCCAGCTACTCAGGAGGCTGAGGCAGGAGAATCGCTGGAACCCGAGGGGCAGAGGCTGCAGTGAGCCAAGATTGTGCCACTGCACTCCAGCCTGGGTGACAGAGCAAGACTCTGTCTCAAAAAAAAAAAAAAAAAGAAAAAAAGAAAAGAAATTGCTAAGAGAGTAGACTGCAAATGTTCTCACCACAAAACAATGAAAAGTATGTGAGGTGATGAATATGCTAGTTAGCTTGATTTAATCATACATATACCAAAACATCACATCATATAGCATAAATATATATAATCTTTATATGTCTGTTAAGCTTTAATAAAGCTGAAAAATAACAAAAAGAGATGTATCTCTATAAAACAGGGTTTTTTTTGTTTTTGTTTTTGTTTGAGACAGAGTATCAGTCTGTTGCCCAGGCTGGAGTGCAATGGCTCAGTCTCGGCTCACTGCAACCTCCGCCTCCCGCATTCAAACAATTCTCCTACCTCACCCTCCCAAGTAGCTGGGACTACAGGCACGTGCCACCACACTCGGCAAGTTTTTGTATTTTTAGTAGAGACGGGGTTTCACTATGTTGGCCAATCTGGTCTCGAACTCCTGACCTCGTGATCTCCCCACCTTGGCCTCCCAAAGTGCTGGGATTACAAACGTGAGCCACCGCGCCTGGCCAAAACAAAGTTTTTCAAGTCCTAACCAATGCATCATCTTAATGCAATAAAATTTGAATATAATTTTTTAAAAAGAAATATATCCTGAAAAGTTTAAAAATAAAAGGTCATGATGTATGTAACTCACCCTCACAAAGTCCAAGGAAAAATGTGCTTATATCCATACAGATCTAGAGAGGGAGCACATGCAGATGATGACACGAATGAAGTAAACGTGAGCTCCAGGTGAATTGGGGTCAAGGGCATACAGTTGTACTTTGTGCCATCTTTATTCTCGTAACTCTTCTGTAGGATTGAAATAACAAAAAGCTTTTTAAACTATTAGGGTCTGGAATTTCCTTTGAAATACACCAAAGAGTAAGAGTAATAGATGAAATTAGGAATGATAAATGGATAGATATGGTAAAAGTGTTATAATCTCTGTTCAATTTTCTTTTTTTTTTTTGAGACAGAGTCTCGCTCTGTTGCCCAGGCTGGAGTGCAGTGGCACAATCTAGACTCGCTGGAACCTCCACCTCCCGGGTTCAAGCGATTTTTGTGCCTCAGCCCCTCTAGTAGCTGGGATTACAGGCATGCGCCACCACGCCCAGCTAATTTTTGTATTTTTAGTAGAGATGGGGTTTCACCATGTTGGCCAGGCTGGTCTCAAACTCCTGACTTGAAGTGATTCACCCATCTTGGCCTCCCAAAGTGCTGAGATTGCAGGCATGAGCCACCGCACCCGGCTTATCTTCAATTTTTTTTTTTTTTTTTTTTTTTTGAGATGGAGTCTCACTCTGTCGCCCAGGCTGGAGTGCAATGGTGCGATCTCAGCTCACTGCAACCTCCACCTTCCAGGTTCAAGCGATTCTCCTACCTCAGCCTCCTGAGTAGCTGGGATTACAGGCACGCGCCACCAGGCCCAGCTAATTTTTGTATTTTTAGTAGAGACGGGGTTTCACCATGTTGGTCAGGCTGGTCTTGAACTCCTGACCTCGTAATCTGCCCGCCTCGGCTCCCAAAGTACTGGGATTACAGGCGTGAGCCACCTCGCCCAGCCTCAGATTTGTTTATAATAAAATGGTGTGGGGCAGAGAGGAGAACAAGACAAATCAATATGACGTGTCATGGAAAAATGTCACCAAATCAGGAAGTCTTTTGTTGTAGAAGCCACTGGAAGGGGCGTAAAGCCCACCTTTCTTTTCATACTGTCTCCCGGTATTTCCTCTGAAAGCAGGAGTTCAGCTGCACTTGAGATTCTTACTACCCTGTGGCTGGTATGAGGTGCCAAACAGGGAAAGGATTGGTCACTTCACCAACGTAATGACAGCTCTCTCTTAGAGACACATTACACAAATCCTCAGGTTAACTTTTTTGCAAGTCCTTTAATAAATACAAGATTATTTTCATAAAATAACTGCCATGTTCTGATTTATCCTAGCAATAGCACCTACACCCCATTTAGTTACAACCACCACAAAAAGCTCTGATGTTCCAAACTCAAGATAGACAGGGTCCTCTTTATCTGAAGATACTTTCCCCAAGTCCCTGCAGCTACAAGACCATTTGGAGAAGCAAAGGTATTCGTAATGATAACATATTCACTAATGAATTAACCACTTAAAAACTGATCCCTATTCAAAATTTACTCCCTGCTGAACCCCAAAGCATCGATCCCCATGTCCCATACCAATGGCCAGCCAGCCTCTCACTCGTTCTCAGATGTCTAGGATGCCAGTCATTTGGACGGTTAAATTGTGAATCTTACACACAATGCAAGATTTCACAGAATCAACAAGTGACATTAAAGCCCCACTCGAGTGGCATACAAAGCCACCGACAGGCGAGGTCAGCAGAGTTATGGACCAATCAACAAGTGAACAGAAGGAAATTAACGCTGATGACTCACCAGGAGCTTCAAAATAGAATGGTTTGAAAAAAGCAATAAATTTAAAATGAATTAAAGTGAAGAGTGAGCTTAGGCTCAAAATATAAAGGGAACAGCAATATCATAAAATGGCTTTTTCTATGAGATATCCCATAAAAATATCCAGAATGGGCCAGGTGCGGTGGCTCACGCCTGTAATCCCAGCACGTTGGGAGGCTGAGACAGGTGGATCACGACATCAGGAGATCAAGACCATCCTGGCTAACACAGTAAAACCCCGTCTCTACTAAAAACACAAAAAATAGCCGGGCGTGGTGGCTGGCGCCTGTAGTCCCAGCTACTCAGGAGGCTGAGGCAGGAGACTGGCGTGAACCCAGGAGGTGGAGCTTGCAGTGAGCCGAGATTGCGCCACTGCACCCCAGCCTGGGCGACAGAGTGAGACTCCATCTCGAAAAAAAAAAAAATCCAGAATGACTAATAACATGGTGAATGGGATAATTACTTTACCACTTTTGGTCAATTAGCTGAGGACTAGCTAAATCCAAAGAGATGTAAATAAAATGAAAATAGAGACACCAAAAAATTGACTACCAAAGAATTAAAGAGGACTTTGAGAGGAAAATGAAGTCTAAATATTTTTAGACTCTCTTTCTGACTCTACCGTGAGTCAGATGTAAAATGAATGATATCTTGAATCATGTAATTTTCCAGAAAAATTATGCACAAAAGTCAACACTTGTTCATTCTTGATTCGTTCTAAAAACTAGCACACAGTTGCAAACATATTCTAAATTTTGTTATATATAAGATAAACTTATTTTCATAATTTTTGTTTTTATTATCCAAAATAAAATCTCAGTCAAGGTTTTTGTAGGGGCTTTTCACCATTTATGAAACATTGATTCTTGTTTCATATGGACTCACTTTTTTATACATCTTTTTACTTTTTGTTTTTTTGCGATGGAGTCTCCCACTCTTGCCCAGGCTGGAGTGCAGTGGTGCCATCACGGCTCACTGCAAGCTCCGCCTCCAGGGTTCACAACATTCTCCTGCCTCAGCCTCTCCGGAGTAGCTGGGACTACAGGCGCCCGCCACCACATCCGGCTAACTTTTTGTATTTTTAGTAAAGACGGGGTTTCACTGTATTAGCCAGGATGGTCTCGATCTCCTGACCTCATGATCTGCCGCCTCGGCCTCGCAAAGTGCTGGGATTACAGGCGTGAACCACCGCGCCTGGCCTTTTTTTTTTTTTTTTTTTTTTTGAGATGAAAGTCTTGCTCTGTCGCCCAGTCTGGAGAGTGCAGTGGTGCGATCTTGGCTTACTGCAACCTCTGCCTCCTGGGCTCAAGCAATTCTCCTGCCTCAGCCTCCTGAGAAGCTGGGACTACAGGTGTGAGCCACCATGCCCAGCTAAGTTTCGTATTTTTAATTGAGACAGGGTTTCACCATGTTGGCCAGGCTGGTCTCAAACTCCTGACCTCGTGATCCACCTGCCTCGGCCTCCCAAAGTGCTGGGATAATAGGCGTAGGCCACTGTACCCAGCCCATCATTTTTACTTTTTTTTTTTTTTTTGAGACGGAGTCTCGCTCTGTCACCCAGGCTGGAGTGCAGTGGCACGATCTCGGCTCACTGCAAGGTCCGCCTCCCGGGTTCACACCATTCTCCTGCCTCAGCCTCCCGAGTAGCTGGGATTACAGGCGCCTGCCGCCATGCCCGGCTATTTTTTTGTATTTTTAGTAGAGACGGGGTTTCACCGTGTTATCCAGGATGGTCTCGATCTCCTGACCTCATGATCCGCCCGCCTCAGCCTCCCAAAGTGCTGGGATTACAGGTGTGAGCCACCGCGCCCGGCCCATTTTACTTTTTATTATGAAAACTGAGACATTCAGAGAAGTAAACAGAATATAACTCTTTTATACTCATTACCTAAATTTAAAAGTTTTCAACAATTTGCCATTTTTGCATCATCTATTTTATTTTTTGGAAGTATTTTAAGGTGAGGTCTAGACATCCTGACATGCTGCTACTTAAGAGACTAATGCAGCTCCTAAAAAGAAGGGAATTTTCCTATGCAAGCACAATCCATTATCACATCTAACAGAATTTACAGTAATTCCATAATATCACCTAGTATCTAGCCCATATTCAAAGTTCCCCAATTAAAAAATGTCTTTCCCAGCAGATTGCTCTGATCTCATCAGGGTTGTCTCTTGGGGTTTACAACAGGTGCTGTTTTCACTTCCTCCTTTCTCCTCTACGTTTTCTGCAAACTGGAAGCTAGATCTCAAGCTGTGCTGGCCAGTACAGTAGTCACCAGGCACATATAAATTTAAATTAATTGAACTGAAGTAAAATTCAGCTCCTCAGTCATGCAAACCACATGTCAAGTGCTCAGTAGCTGCTTGTGGCCACTGGCTATCTTACTGGACAGTGCAAATGAAAAACATTCCCATCACCTCAGAAGGTTTTGTTGGACAGTGCTGCTCCAGATACCTGATGTGTTTTTAAGCAAACTTTTTTTTTTTTTTACCATTTTGCTTTTCATGATCATACCTCAGACTTAATTTTTTTTTTTTTTTTGAGACAGAGTCTTGCTCTGTTGCTCAGGCTGGAGTGCAGTGGCACGACCTTGGCTCACTTCAACCTCCACTTCCCAGACTCAAGCGATCCTCCAGCCTCAGCCTCCCAAGTAGCTGGGATCACAGGTGCCAGCCACCACGCCTGGCTAATTTTTGTGTTTTGTAGAGATAGGTTTTCACCATGTTGCCCAGGCTAGTCTCTACTCCTGAATCAAAGAAATCCGTCCGCTACAACCTCCCAAAGTGCTGACACTATAGGCGTGAGCCACCGTGCCCAGCCTAGGCAAACATTTTTGGCAAGAAAACTTCATATAGCATCGTTCAGAAAATGATTTCACTGGCTGGGCGTGGTGGCTGACACCTGTAATCCTAGCACTTTGGGAGGCCGAGGTGGACAGATCACTTGAGGTCAGGAGTTAGAGAGTAGCCTGGCCAACATGGTAAAACCCTGTGTCTACTAAAAATAAAAAAATTCCGAGTGTGGCGGCAGGTGCCTGTAGTCTCAGTTTACGGGCTGAGGGTGGAGAATCGCTTGAACCAGGAGGCGGAGGTTGCAGTGAGCTGAGATTGCACTATTGCACTCCAGGCTGGGCGACAGCAAGACTCCGTCTCAAAAAAAAAGATGGTTTACAGCGAGGTGCGGTGGCTCACGCCCGCCTGTAATACTAGCACTCTGGGAGGTTGAGGCGGGCAGATCGCTTGAGTCCAGGAGTTCAGGACCAGCCTGAGCAACATGGAAAAAAACCGTCTCTACTAAAACTACAAAAATTAGCTGGACATGGTGGTGCACACCTGTAATCCCAGGTACTCAGAAGGCTAAGGCAGGGGAATCACTTGAGCCTAAGAGGCACAGTTTGCAGTGAGCCGAGATCGCACCACTGCACTCCAGCTCGGGCAACCCAGCAAGACTCTGTCTCAAAATATATATATATAACTAAAAAATGCTGGCCGGGCGCAGTGGCTCACTCCTGTAATCCCAGCACTTTGGAAGGCTGAGGTGGGCGGATCACGAGGTCAGGAGATCGAGACCATCCTGGCAAACATGGTGAAACCCTGTCTCTACCAAAAATACAAAAAATTAGCTGGGCATGGAGGCGCACGCCTATAATCCCAGCTACTTAGGAGGTTGAGGCAGGAGAATCACTTGAACCCAAGATGCAGAGACTGCAGTGAGCAGAGATGGCACCACTGCACTCCAGCCTGGTGACAGAGCGAGACTCCATCGCAAAAAAAAATTAAAAATTAAAAAAAAAATTTTAAATGCTAAAGGCCATCTGAGCCTTCAGTGAATCATAATCTTTTTGCCAGTGGAGGGTGTTGCCTTGATGTTGAGGGCCTTGGTCTGGATTACGTTTTCACTTAGGGGAATGTTGTGGTTGATTTAATCTTCTATCCAGACCACCAAAACTTTTTCCTTATCAGAAATAAGGCTGTTTCACTTTTTTTTTTTTTTTTGAGACAGAGTCTTGCTCTGTTGCCCAGGCTGGAGTGCAGTGGCCTGATCTTGGCTCACTGCAACCTCTGCTTCTTGGTTCAAGCGATTCTCATGCCTCAGCCTTCCAAGCAGCTGAGAATACAGGCGCAGCACTGCACCTGGCTAATTTTTGTATTTTTAGTAAAGGCAGGTTTTCACCATGTTGGCCAGGCTGGTCTCAAACTCCTGGCCTCATGTGATCGGCCGCCTCAGCATTCCAAAGTGCTGGGATTACAAGCATGAGCCACCACACCTGGCCAGAGTAGCACTTTTAATTTCCAGCAAGAACTTTTCCTTTGCATTCACAACTTGGCTAACTGTGTGCAAGAGGCCAAGCTTTTGGCCCATCACGGCTTTTGACGTGCCTACCTCATTAAGCTTAATCATTTCTAGCTTTTGATATAAAGAGAGAGACATGCAACTCTTCCTTTTACCTGAACACTCAGAGGCCATTGTACGGTTATTAATTGGCCTAATTTCTTTTCCTTTTTCTTTTCTTTTTTTTGGTTGGAGATGGAGTTTCACTCTATCGCCCAGGCTGGAGTGCAGTGATGCAATCTTAGCTCACTGCAACCTCCGCCTCCCAGGTTCAAGCAATTCTCGTGCCTCAGCCTCCCCAGTAGCTGGTATTACAGGTGCCTGCCACCACACCCAGCTAATTTTGTATTTTTAGTAGAGACAGGGTTTCACCATGTTGGCCTGGAACTCCTGATCGCAAGTGATCTGCCCACCTTAGACTCCCAAAGTGCAGGGATTACAGGTTTGAGCCACGGCCTAATTGGCCTAATTTCAATATTGTGTCTCAGGGCACAGGGAGGCCCGAGGAGAGGGTAAGGGAGAAGGAAACACGTGGTTGGTGGAGCAGTAAGAACACATACAACATTTATCAATTAAGTTTACCATCTTATATGGGTGCAGTTTGTGGTGCCCCAAAACAATTAATAATAGTAACACCAAAGATCACAGATCACAAATCATATAACAGATGTAAGGGTAGTTTAAAAGTTTAGAATATTTTGAGAATTACGAAAATGTGAAACAGAGGCACAAAATAAGCACGTGCTGTTGGGTTGCCAACAGCAACTTTTTCTTTTTTTGAGACGCAGTTTTTTTTGCACTTGTCGCCCAGGCTGGAGTGCAGTGGTTCGATCTCGGCTCACTGCAACCTCTGCCTCCCAGGTTCAAGCGATTCTCCTGCCTCAGCCTCCAGAGTAGCTGGGATTATAGGCTCCCACCACCACGCCTGGCTAATTTTTGTGTTTTTAGTAGAGACGGGGTTTCGCCATGTCGGCCACGCTGGTCACGAACTCCTGATCTCAGGTGATCCACCCACCTGTGCCTCCCAGAGTGCTGGGATTACAGGCGTGAGCCACCGTGCCCGGCTGCCAAAAACTTTAATTTGTTAAAAAAGCAATAAAGCGAAGCACTATAAAATGAGATATATTTCAATATGTAAACGAGGCACAACTACCACTGAAATAACATAGACATTTGCACGTGTAATTCTGAACAAATCAATTTAGCTACGTTCCAGGAAAATTTAGGGTACACTTATGGTAGTCATTACACTGCTCACAAAGATTCCCAGTTGTGGTTTTCCCAGACAGAAATAGGTCTGAACTTCCCAACTCCCTAGAAATTAAACGTGGCCATGTGATTTGCTTTCACCAATGAAATGTGCATAAGTGACCTTTGTCATGCAGGACTGGAGCATGTAATATTTATGCAAAACTCCCAACAGGCTGGGTCCTGAGAGACTACAATGAGTTGGGCAGAGTACTCACCCCATCTACATTGACATGTAGCATGATGAGAAACCAGCTTTTAGGTTAAGCCATTGAGATTTGGGGGTTGTTACTGAAGAATAACCTTGCCTGATAAATGTTGAAACTGTTCCCCCAAAAAAGAGTTAATGTTTTTATACAAAATGGAATTCGGTTCCACGCCCTGATCATTATAAACAAACTTTTCACCTACATAAATGTCCAGTAGCATTGGAAAGTCATGAAGGATTCGGGACAATGCTGTTATTCTAGACTATCTTCATCCCTGTCTATGCATCCAGTAAAGACTAGTAGGGCCGGGCTCAGTGGCTCACGCCTGTAATCTCAACACTTTGAGAGGCCGAGGCGGGGGAATCACGAGGTCGAGAGATCGAGACTATCCTGGCGAACATGGTGAAACCCCGTCTCTACTAAAAGTACAAAAATTAGCCAAGTGTGGCGCCACGCCCCTGCAGTCCCAGCTACTTGGGAGGCTGAGGCAGGAAAATCGCTTGAACCCGGTAGGCAGAGGTTACAGTGAGCCGAGATTGCGCCACTGCACTCCAGCTTGGTGACAGAGCAGGACTTGGCCTCAAAAACAAACAAACAAACAAGACCAGGCCGGGCGTGGTGGCTCACGCCTCTAATCCCAGCACTTTGGGAGGCCGAGGCTGGCGGATCACGAGGTCAGGAGATCAAGACCATCCTGGCTAACACGGTGAAACCCCGTTTCTACTAAAAATACAAAAAAAAAAAAAAATTAGCCGGGCGTGGTGGCGGGCACCTGTAGTCCCAGCTACTCGGGAGGCTGAGGCAGGAGAATGGCGTGAACCCGGGAGGTGGAGCTTGCAGTGAACCGAGATCGCGCCACTGCACTCCAGCCTGGGCGACTGAGCGAGACTCCGTACGAAAACAAACAAACAAAAAAGACTGGTAGTATGCCCTCAGTCATTACACAACTCAAACACCAACTCCACAAATTCCCAAAACACTCCTAGATGAAGTGGTATCCCTTCACTGAGAACTGGCCTTTCAGGGACCAGACATATCATGCAACCTAGTGAAGTGGGCTGGACCAAGACAGGTCCAGGGAGCAGCTGGGCGTCTAAAGGGGCAGCACAGTTTATTCCCAACAGTTTGTTGCCATCTGGGAATATGCCATGAGTTACCAAATATTCCAGTGATTCCAGAGAAAGCTAAAATCCAGATTCTTATGTGAAATCTTTTGATTTCTAAATATTGGCAACAAGTTTTAAGATTTGTAAACATTCTGGGAATCAAAACAGCTCTGCTGGTTTGGTGTGGCTCATGTTGCCTCACTTTGCAAAGTGTTAAGTGCTAGTAAATTTTAGTGTTTTTTCTGAGACAGGGTCTCACTTTGTCGCCCAGCCTGGAGTGCAGTGGCCATGATCTCCGCTCACTGTGGGATCGACCTCCCGGGCTCAAGCGATCCTCCCACTCTCAGCCCCCCAAGGAGCTAGGAGTAGAGCTGTCCCGCCACGACATCTGGCTGGTTTTTTGTTGTTGTTGTTGTTGTTGTTTTGGTATTTTAGTAGAGACGGGGTTTCGTCCTACTAAAGGCCCGCCTGGGCCTTCCGAAGTGCTGGGATTACAGGCGTGAGCCACCGCGCCCGGCCAAAATTTTCCTTTGTACTTACTCAAATTCCTTTCTTTTCCAAGTGAAGAAACAGACTGAGTGTATAGTGACTTACCCAGGCCACACAGTTGGATACCAGAGATAGTAGTCACAATCGCTAACATCTGCCATGTGGTCCTTACTGCAAATCTTATTTAATAATGAGGTCGGTTTTTGTTATCCCACTTAACTAATCAATAGGAGAAGCCACCTCTGATTTCCAGTCCACTATCGTGCACTCTTTCTTGCCAAGCCGTCATAGTCATTAGATTAAAAAAAAAAAAAAATTCCTGCTTTCCTGCCTCGCCTGTGCGTTTCCTTAGTCGCCCTTTCGGGGCTTGTTCTAATGAGTGCTACAGAAAAATGACGAAGTGGAAAATATAGACCATGAAATGAAAATTTAAAAGAGGAAATGGTGTCACAAAGACAACGACGGCCAGGGAACCCCGTGAAGCGCCGGGCAGGGTGCACAACTGTCCTCGGAGAAAGTTCAAGAGGAACTTCCCCGCGAACAGGTCCTGCCGGCGGCCGGGAATACGCACACTTTTTATGTTATGACTTGGACTTTCCCGAACCTTTCGAAACAGAGGGAAGGCGAGGCGGTGAAGAGGGAGAAAAATCTCCCCCACCTAAGGCAAAGGCGATGCCCGCCCGCCCCCACCCCGCGCCCGCCCGCCCGCTGGGTCACATGACACGGCCAAGATGGCCGACCGGGAAGGCGGCTGCGCTGCTGGGCGGGGGCGGGAGCTGGAGCCGGAGCTGGAGCCGGGGCCGGGGCCCGGGTCAGCGCTTGAGCCGGGAGAAGAGTTTGAGATCGTGGACCGAAGCCAGCTGCCCGGCCCAGGCGACCTGCGGAGCGCAACGAGGCCGCGGGCGGCCGAGGGCTGGTCGGCGCCCATCCTGACCCTGGCACGCAGGGCCACCGGGAACCTGTCGGCGAGCTGCGGGAGCGCGCTGCGCGCGGCCGCGGGGCTGGGCGGCGGGGACAGCGGGGACGGCACGGCGCGCGCAGGTAGGCTCGGGCCGGGTCTGTCCCGCGGCGGACTCGCGTGTCCCCGCTGGCCGCCGGCGCGGGCGCGGTGGGGGCCGGGCTGGGAGGGCACTGGCCGTTCCGGGAGGTTACGCGAGCTGTTGGCGGGCGGGCGGCGCCTGGCTGCGCCTGGGTCTTTACTCCGGCGGCCCAGCCGAGACCGCCCCCCGCAGCCCCGCGTGCCTGAGCGCGCTCCCGCACCCGCGCCTCTATGCTCTCCCACTAACTAGGTGAAGGACGTGTGCGCGTCCGGGCTTCGGAACTCTGTAGTAACTCCACACACGAAACGGAGCCAGCACTGTTCTGCTTTTCAGCCGTTCAGTGCGGGAGTGGAGCGCCGGCGGGTGTTGGGAGGGCGTGGGCCCTGCGCGCAGCGGACCAGCGGCGCCTCCGCTCACCTCTGCCTGTGAGATGGGGATTTTAAAGTCACCCGATGATCTCTTAAAGACCTTTTCAGCCCTTGTAATGAACAGAGTGCCAGCATATCAGTGATAGTAAGAGTTAAGTAACTTAGCCCTCTAACGCCAGACATCCAGAGCTGTGCTATCCAATACAACAGCACGCATATGTTTTTGTGTGTGTGTTTTTGTTTTTATTTATTTTTATTTTTTTGAGACCGGGTCTTGCTCTGTCGCCCAGGCTGGAGTGCAGTGGTGCGATCTCGGCTCACTGCACCCTCTGCCTCCCGGGTTCAAGCGATCCTCCCTCCCGCCTCAGCCTCCCGAGTAGCTGGGATTACAGGTGCCCACCACCACGCTCGGCTAAGTTCCCCGCCCCCACCCCCCTCCCATATTTTTAGTAGAAACGGGGTTTCACCATCTTGGCCAGGCTGGTCTTGAACTCCTGACCTTGTGATACACCTGCCTCGGCCTCGTAAAGTACTGGGACTACAGGCTTGAGCCACCGCGCCCGGCCGGATTCCTCAATTTCTAACTGAATCAATTGAAATTCAGTACTTTTAAATTGAATTAAAAATTGAGTTCCTCGGCCGGGAGCGGTGGCTCACGCCTGTAATCCCAGCACTTTGGGAGGCCGAAGCGGGTGGATCACGAGGTCAAGAGATCGAGACCATCCTGGCCAACATGGTGAAACCCCGTCTCTACTAAAAATACAAAAAATTAGCTGGGTGTGTTGGCATGCACCTGTAGTCCCAGCTACTCAGGAGGCTGAGGCAGGAGAATCGCTTGAACCTGGGAGGCAGAGGTTGCAGTGAGCCGAGATCGCGCCACTGCACTCCAGCCTGGGTGACAGAGCGAGACTCTGTCTCAAAAAAAAAAAAAAAAAAAAAAACTTGTTCCTCGATTACAGCGGCCACATTTTAAATGCTCAGTAGCCTGTGTGTGGCCAGTGGCTACTGTATGAGATAGCACATAATAGAACATTGCCAACTTCATAGAAAATGCTGGGACAGAGCTGAGGAAAGGTTGTGGTGCCTTCCAAGGAGCATCATAGCACACACTCGAGGCTTCCTGATTCCTCCCCATCCACTGGTACCTTTGCTGTAGATGCACTGACCCCAGGTAGTGAATTGTGAGATTTTCAGTGGTCAAGAATAATTACTGAGTAAAGTTGAAAGGCTGACTCGTTTTGAGATCCTGGCAGTGGAAAATAGCATTAGAGGATGATGAGAGCCTGGGCAGGCCGGGAATCTACTGCCCTCTAGCTTGACACCTTTTCCCGAGACTTTTCCACACATCAGTGGATGCTGAGTTGCATACTCATTGACAGTCAGTACTGAAAGTCAAGGCATGGCGTCTCCTGGAGGCCTCTTAGATATTTCGTGGCAGGAGTAAGCAAATAATAAAAGTTCTTCCCTGCTAGAATTTCTTTCCTTTAATGCAGAATCAAGGAAAAAATTAAAAAGATAAAATGAAATGTGTCAGTACCTGGCACAGAATAATAAGTGTTTGCTGAACAAATGCATATTTGAAAAATACCTGTGTTCCATCTATGGAAGTGATAGAAACAATAGCCAACACTTATATTGTCCTTCAAAGGTGCCAGGCATTAGTCTTAAACCTGTACAAGTATTCATTCATTCCTCACAACAACCCTATGTGATAGCAGGACTAGCTTCATGGGTGGACAGTCAATGCAGGCTTTGATCACTCTGGTGGAAAGGGCCAGGCACTCAGAAGTATCCCATGCTTGAAATTCTTAATTTTATCTTTGAATTTGTGTTTTTTAAGTGAAGTCCAATGGGACAGGTTCTCAGTTGCCCTGGCCCACTCGAGCTGCCCTGGGGCTTCTCCCTACCCTCCCTGATCCCACTCTTGCCCAGGCAGCGTTGGGATTGCACCCTCCGAATCTCAGGGCAGGGTGGCTGGTACCACAGCACATTAGGCAGGCAAGTGGGCAGGGGCCTCTCACCTGTCCCATCCCTGCAGGGAAGTTGCAATCCATTAGGGCTGTAGTAAGGGGGAGTCTGACTTCTGTGCTCTGCTCCAGGCCGGGAATTTTGCACTGGGCCTTGTAAATCATGTAGATGGCACAGGGTGATGAGTACCATTATTATCCCTATTTTATAAAGAGAGTATTAAAGAGAAGTAACTTCACCAACTGCAAAATGTCTATATATATATCCCATATGGATTTAAAAAACTAGGCCGGGCATGGTGGCTCACACCTGTAATCCCAGCATTTTGGGAGGCCGAGGCAGGCAGATCACCTGAGGTCAGGAGTTCGAGACCAACCTGGCCAACATGGTGAAACCCTATCTCTACTAAAAAAAAAAGTACAAAAATTAGCCGGGCTTGGTGGTACGCACCTGTAATCCCAGCTACTCAGGAGGCTGAGGCAGGAGAATTGCTTGAACATAAGAGGCGGAGTTTGCAGTGAGCCGAGACCATTCCACTGCAGTCCAGCCTGGGCAACAGAACGAGACTATCTCAAAAAATAATAATTAACTCAATTTAAGGAAAGTATTAATAACTACCACTCAATCTAGCAAAATGGTGACCATGGCTTACAAAGAGATGAAATTTGGGGAACTGCTGGGTAGAGCCATGAGGCTGGTCCCAAAGGTCACCGGGATTTGAAGCCATCAGGTAGGACAGGAGCAGAGGTGGGAAAGGAAATGGGCCAAGGGCGGCTCGCTCTGCAGCGACACAAGAAAAACAGGATGGGAGAAAGACAGTGACACCACTTCAGCCAGGGCCAGGCCCAAGGCTGACTCATTCTCTTTCCCCACTGATCTGCCTACACAAGCAATGAGGACAGGCAGGACTTTCAGAGGGAGCAGTTTAGGAGCAGAGATTGAATGTGAGCAGCACTCTTGCTGGATGATATTTTTTCAATGGTAGAAGCTAAAGGAAATGCTGCGGAATATTTTGAATACTTGTTTTAAAATGTTGTCCCGGTCGGGTGCAGTGGCTCATGCCTGTAATCCCAGCACTTTGGAAGACCGAGGTGGGTGAATCACCTGATGTTGGGAGTTTGAGACCAGCCTGACCAACATGGAGAAACCCCGTCTCTACTAAAAATACAAAATTAGCCAGGCATGGTGGCGTAGGCGTGTAATCCCAGCTATTCAGGAGGCTGAGGCAGGAGAATCTCTTGAACCTGGGGGGTGGAGGTTGCTGTGAGCCAAGATCGCCGCATTGCACTTCAGCTAGGGCAACAAGAGCAAAACTTTGTCTCAAAAAAAAAAAGAAAAGAAAAGTTTTCCCATGTGGGGTCTGGTATGTGATTGTATTGTCCATAGGTGTCCTGTTTGGTTTTGGGGGATTTTTTTTTAAGGTAATAAGCGAACATGATTTTTAAAAATCAAACCATACAAAAGAACATTCGGACAGGCATGGTGGCTCATGCCTGTAATCCCAGCACTTTGGGAGGCCGAGGCGGGCGGATCATTTGAGGTCAGGAGTTTGAGACCAGCCTGGCCAACATGGTGAAACCCCGTCTCCACTAAAAGTACAAAAATTAGATGGGCGTGGTGGCGCACGCCTGTAATCCCAGCTGCTCGGGAGGCTGAGGCAGGAAAATTGCTTGAAACCAGGAGGCAGAAGTTGCAGTGAGCCAAGATCACGCCACTGCACTCCAGCCTGGGTGACGAGCAAAATTCTGTCTCAAAAAAAAAAAAGGACAAATACTAAATCCTCCTTCCCAGAAATTTTCCCCAGTACTATTGTATCTTTGAGAGTTTCCGCACATAGCACATGTGCTTTCCTCTCTCAACACTGGCTGTTTTCACGCAAGCAATAGGATGTACCCACAAGGAATGTATCTTGCTTTTTAGAGTAATGCTTCCTAAAGGATGAGTAACAAACATGCGTGTTTTAAGAATTAACATGCTGGCGGGGTGCAGGTGGCTCATGCCTGTAATCCCAGTACTTTGAAAGGCCAACGAGAGAGGATTGCTTGAGCCCAGGAGTCTGATACTGGCCTGGCAATTTATTTGGCAATTCAGTAGGTGTAGAACTTCACGATATTCTCTGTGTCATGTTGAACTATTATTAATGAAGCTTAGAGATGTGAATAGTTTGGCCAAGGTCACAAAGCCAGTAAAATTGAGAGATAGAACCGCTAAAAGATCGTTCCAGGTTTAATTTTCCATGCCTCTAACTTGAGTGCTAATGGGTACAGGTAACCCCATAGTAGGGGATGCATGAGATGGCAAAACACTGCCAGCAGCACTTCCAGAGACAGCACCACCCAGCGCTGATTGCCTGGAACACTGGTCTTAACATTTTTTGCTCATGTAACCCCCTAAGAAAACTCCCAACTTTTTTTTTTTTTTTTTTTTTTTTTGAGCCGGCGTTTTGCTCGTCACCCAGGCTGGAGTGCAATGGCGTGATCTCGGGTCACGGCAACCTCCGCCTCCCAGGTTCAAGCGATTCTCCTGCCTCAGCCTCCCAAGCAGCTGGGATTACAAGCATGCACCACCACGCCCAGGTAATTTTTTGGATTTTTTTTTTTTTTTAATTGATCATTCTTGGGTGTTTCTCAATTTTTTGGATTTTTAGTAGAGACAGGGTTTCACCATGTTGGCCAGGCTGGTCTCAAACTCCTGACCTCAAGTGACCTGCTCACCTCAAGTGATCTGCCCACCTCGGCCTCCCAAAGTGCTGGGATTACAGGCATGAGACACTGCTCCCAGCCGAAAACTTAACTTTTAAAGTTAACGTATAAGATTATTCATCATATTTTAAAGTTGCTCAGAATTCATTTTCTGGCATAGTGTAAATATTGACTTTTTAAAATAAAACTGTTACATTGTTTTTTGAAATGTATCAAGTGGTATGTAAATACCTTAATGAATTGATAATTACCACCATCCATCTTTAAAATAGCAAGTTATTTAATATTTGAAAATTTTACATTTTCCCTTTTATTCATTGAACTTGGATTTCCATTCCACTTCTGCCATAGAATTAATGTAATAGATTTGTATGTTTTTAAAAGTGTTATTGGTCATCTTATAAGTCTCAGCAAAAAGTATGTAAATAAGTTAAAGTTTAATAAATTTTTATTGTGACTGAAGCTCTAAGTGTATAAAAATTTTTCTTCTGGAGTGAATTATCATTAAGTTTATTAGTAATGCTACATTGGTAACAGGAACATAAATATAATTTTTATAAAGAATTATACATAAATTTTTCTTGAATTGCGTTTTTTTTTTTTGAGAAGGGTCTCACTCTGTTGCCCAGCCTGGAATGCAGTGGCGCAATCTCGGCTCACTGCAACCTCCGCCTCCCGAGTTCAAGTGATCCTCCCACCTCAGCCTCCCCAGTAGCTGGGACTACAGGTGCACGCCAGCACGCCCAGCTAAGTTTTGTATTTTTAGTAGAGACGGGTTTTACCATGTTGGCCAGGCTGATCTCGAACTCCTGACCTCAGGTGATCTGCCTGCCTCAGCCTCCCAAAGTGCTGGGATTACAGGCGTGAGCCACCACGCCCAGCCAATGAATTGCATCTCTAAATGAGATGAATGGTGTTGGTTTTTGTCATTAGCATATATCTGTAGATGAATATATATGATTTACTGCTAAAGCGTGATAGAATTCAGCATCAGTTTTAGTCCTGTTTTTTGTTTGTTTGTTTTAGTAATGTTGGTCATCTTTGAACTCTTTCCAAGTTATATGCCCCAAATCACACTGATCTAAAGCCAAAAATTATTTTTTGTTCCCTTATTTTCATTCAAAGCAAATAATTGAAAATTACCTGACCTGCAACCTAATCATATTAAGAAAATTTCTCAACTGTTGGGAGTTACCAAAACAAAAGTTTTACCAAGACTTATCAAGTGTGAGCCAGGCACGGTGGCTCATGCCTGTAATCCCAGCACTTTGAGAGGCTGAGGCAGGTGGATGGCCTGAGGTCAGGAGTTCGAGACCAGCCTGGCCAACATAGTAAAACCCCGTCTCTACTAAAAATACAAAAAATTACCTGGGCATGGTGGCGGGCACCTGTAATCCCAGCTACTGGGGAGGCTGAGGCAGGAGAATCTCTTGAACCCAGGAGGCGGAGGTTGCAGTGAGCCAAGATCGTGCCATTGCACTCCAGCCTGGACAACAAGAGCAAAACTCCATCTCAAAAGAAAAAAAGACTTATCAAGGGATAATTTCACTTCTTATTCTTTCACTTAGGCACTTTGTTTAACCCAGAATACTCAGAATGGTTGGAGACATCTGAGTATTGCTTATTTCATTCACCTTTGCCAATACAGTACTTTTTGACAAAAATACTTTTAGTTTATCATGTATTTCAAATCCATTTTCATCAAATACTTAGCTGCAGTTTGGGCTCATTTAATTTACGGAAAATGGCCATCAAGCTAATGGCACATCTTAGGGTTGTGAATATTGACTGGTTGAACATAATTACATAGATTTGTAGGGAGAAAAATTTAATTTTCTAAATTTAGGACACCCAAGCAGAGGGTTAGAGACCACCCCTCTGCCCCAAGACCAAGCTTAACTGAATACCATAAAGCAGTAAAAGGCTGGTCTTCATGTTTTTGATTACTTAATCATCAAGGGCGACACCACCTCCATTTGGTGTATGGAACCTAGGGCACCCCAGGTCACCGTATCAAGAGGAAGACAGGTTATGGAGTGAGTTGCCCTTCTTTAGAGGGAGGAGAAAGAGTGCCTGTGAAACTTGAAAATCTGGAAATTGAGTTCCTTAAAACATCTGGGCATACCTAGCTTTGGCAAGACTGCTGTATATGTATTCCAATTTCAAGACCACTAGATGATAGAACTGGGCTTGGTGTCTTCTTTAAAGATAAATCTTTACAAATTGCTTTTATGGTTATTGCTGTCTTCAGAGTTTCTCCCTTCTCTTGATGAAGTTTTACAAGTTTTATTTCCTTTGCCAATCATCCATTACAGTTTTAAAATTTATAAATATAATACATAGGCTTCTCTCGAAATATAAAAATAATTATACTGGCCAGACATGGTGGCTCACGCCTGTAATCCTAGCACTTTGGGATGCCAAGGCGGGCGGATCACCTGAGGTTGGAAGTTCGAGACCAGCCTGACCAAAATGGAGAAACCCCGTCTCTACTAAAAATACAAAATTAGCCAGGCGTGGTGGCGCATGCCTGTAATCCCAGCTACTCGGGAGTCTGAAACAAGAGAATTGCTTGAGCTCAGGAGGCGAAGGTTGCAGTGAGCCGAGATGGCGCCATTGCACTCCAGCTTGGGCAACAAGAGTGAAACAACATCTCAAAAAAAAAAAAAAATTATACCACCCCCAACGAAATGCTTTACTTAAGCCACTTTTAACCCTCTCCACAACCAAGGTGAAATGCTTAGGCTGTTTCTTCTTGCCCAGCAGCTCTCCCCCTACCTTCTTGGGTTTTGCTGAGATAATTTTGAATTTTTAGTCCCAGGATGTCTCAGTATTTATTTAAGACCTTTACTACAAGTTCACGGCCATAATATTATCGTTCAGATTTAACTGTAATTAACTATATAAAAATATAGTACGTATAAATATGCTCTTTAATTGTCCATATTAATCAATGCTGGTGAAATAAAACAGGTAAAGGATTAGTATCCAAAATATACAGGTCAGTAAGACAAAGGCAAGCAATTCAACACGAAAGTCAATTGAGCAAGCAATTCACAGAAGAAATACTAGCAGAGAATAAACAGAAGTTATTTAACCTCAGTAGTAATTGGACAGCTGCAAACCAAAAACAATACGATCCCCCGCCCCCATTCCAATTGGCAAATATTTCCAAGACAATGTAAACGCGCGCGCGCGCCCGGGTGAGGGCCGCGCTTCGCACCTGGGACTTTCCTGCCAGGACTCTTACTTTGGGATCTAAACTTTTAGTTTCTAGGATACCAGCTTACTGGGTTTCAGAGAGCATTTGGCCAGCACGTATAGATATCTGATGATAATTGCACACAGTCTTTATTACACCCTCAAGGCAATGCGACAAGATAATGGGAGTTGAAATGGAACTCTCTGAATTCATTTGACTCCAACGGTTTTCCTTACCAAAAAACAAAGTGTGCGTAAAACCTAAAATTGTCCACTAGTAGCGGACGAAAGATCGGCAACAAGAATTTGAGCCTGGAGCTGAGGGGAAGATGCTTCCCTGCAGGCACCCGGCTGGCACTATCCGGCAAGAGAGAAGGCTGGAAAAGCCTTCTGGGCGGGGTGCGCATCCTCCTCCGTCCGGGACAGAGGGTGCAAAATGGCGCCCACCAGCTCCGTAGGAGAGGCCTTGAGCTGGACTCGCCCAATAGGAATGTTTGGGGGCGGGACGCTTTCCCAGCACGCCCTCTAAGAGCTTGGGGCAGGGCTTCCTGTAGGTAGCGCCCTTCCATTGGTCAAAAATGGAACCGGGGTTGCGGGAGAAGCCAAACGCGGCGAGTCTTGCTAAAGCCGTCGCCGTAGCAACGCGCGGAGCCGTCTGGGAGAGGCCTCTGGAGCAGGAGGCCCAGTGGCTCTTCTGACCCAAGGCCCCGCCGTCCAGGTAGGGGGCTGTGGCCTCTAGGGATCAGGGACTACTTACCTGCGAATCCCGGTTGCCCGCCCGCCAGCACGTCCGTTCCCTAAGCAGACCGCCTGGCCTCCTGCCTGACCCGTCTTCTCACCGTTGCCCGGAGTCTGACCTCCCCACGCTCAGTCCACTAACGAAGCTATCCCTGCTCCTGCCCCACAGCTTCTAAGTGCCAGATGATGGAGGAGCGTGCCAACCTGATGCACATGATGAAACTCAGCATCAAGGTGTTGCTCCAGTCGGCTCTGAGCCTGGGCCGCAGCCTGGATGCGGACCATGCCCCCTTGCAGCAGTTCTTTGTAGTGATGGAGCACTGCCTCAAACATGGGCTGAAAGGTGAGCCTGAGGGGGCGTTTGGGAGCGTGGAAGTTCGGGCTGGGTGTTTGCTCAGCATTTTTTCATCAGCGCCAGACATCCTTCTAGATGCTGAAATGCCAGCAGTGTACAGAACAGGCAAGGTTCCTGTATTCAGAAGCGACGTCCTAGAGCAGCGCTGGCCAATAGAAATAGCATGCAAGCTATATAGGCAATTTTAAAGTTTCTGGTAGCCAGGTTACTTTAAAAGCGTTAGATGAGGCTGGGCGCGGTGGCTCACGCCTGTAATCCCAGCACTTTGGGAGGCCAAGGCGGGCGGATCACGAGGTCAGGATATCGAGACCATCCTGGCTAACACGGTGAAACCCGGTCTCTACTAAAAAAAAAAAATACAAAAAATTAGCTGGGCGTGGTAGCGGGCGCCTGTAGTCCCAGCTACTCGGGAGGCTGAGGCAGGAGAATGGCGTGATCCCGGGAGGCGGAGGTTGCAGTGAGCTGAGATCGCGCCACTGCACTCCAGCTTGGGCAACAGAGCAAGACTCCGTCTCAAAAAAAAAAAAAAAAAAGAAAAAAGAAAAAAAAGTGTTAGATGAGATGCCTTTCTGTGGGGATAAAACTTTTAAAAATTAAGAAAAAAAAGTTAACCTAATTTGCTAAAATGTTTTAAAATTAGTGTTAATAATATATTTCATGGAACCCGTATATCCAAAATATCATTCAACACATATTCAATATTTAAAAGCCTTATTAGGCCAGGCGCGGTGGCTCACGCCTTGTAATCCCAGCACCTTGGGAGGCCGAGACGGAAGGATCGCTTGAGCTCAGGAGCTGGAGACCACCCTGGCCAACATGGTGAAACCCTGCCTCTGCTAACAACACAAAAATTAGCCGGGCGTGGTGGCGCATGCCTGTAATCCCAGCTACTCGAGTGGCTGAGGCAGGAGAATCTCTTGAACCCAGGAGGCGGAGGTTGCAGTGAGCTGAGATTGCACCATTGCACTCCAACCAAGGCTACAGGGTGAGATTCCATCTCAAAAATAAATAAATAAATAAATTAATTAATTAATTAAAACAGATGCAAAGGTTCTGAGTGGGACCAACCTTCCTCAGCTTGAGAAAGACTCCAGGTAACAGGTGTGCTAAGTGTGCTGAGGGAGAGGAGGGGAGGACATGAGGTCAGGGGAGTAGGGAGAGGCTGGACCATATATGTCCTTAAAGGTCAGATGAGGAGTTGCATTTTATTCTTAGTGTCTTTGGAAGATCCTAAAGGGAGAAATGTGTCCTAACTTCAGTTCTTAAAAGAATTTCTAGCTATGTAGAGAACAGATTGTAATGGTGGGGAGGTGACAGTATTAGGAGCAGGAAGACCAATTACAGCAGTACAGATGATGAGGATCTGAAAAAAACAAAAAAAAATAAATCCTTGATTTTGCCATCAAGGAAAAAAAGGGGGAAGAATTTCATAGTAGATGAGCCTATAAGGCAACTGTTTTTTTCTTTCTTTTTTTTTTTTTTTTTTTTTTTTTGAAGAGTCTCGCTCTGTCCCCCAGGCTGGAGTGCAGTGGTGCAATCTCGGCTCACTGCAAGCTCCTCCTCCCAGGTTCACGCCATTCTCCTGCCTCAGCCTCCCGAGTAGCTGGGACTACAGACGCCCACCACCACTCTCGGCTAATTTTTTTTTTATTTTTAGTAGAGACGGAGTTTCACCGTGTTAGCCAGGATGGTCTCGATCTCCTGACCTCGTGATCCACCCGTCTCGGCCTCCCAAAGTGCTGGGATTACAGGTGTGAGCCACTGTGCCCGGCTGAGGCGCCTGTTTTATTCTATG
Source organism: Homo sapiens (assembly GCF_000001405.40). Taxonomy (NCBI): domain Eukaryota; kingdom Metazoa; phylum Chordata; class Mammalia; order Primates; family Hominidae; genus Homo; species Homo sapiens. Next base: position 179,562,006 of record NC_000005.10, read on the forward strand.
GGCAATACATACTTCCAGAAAGAGCACAGTAAGCATATCAGAGAAACTCTGTTGCCAGAGAAAGAGAGACTAATTTATTACATGGCCTCTCCCAGTCCCCAAGAGTAAATCAAGAAGGATTAAGCAGGCCGGGCGCTGTGGCTCACGCCTGTTATCCCAGCACTTTGGGAGGCCGAGGCGGGCAGATCACAAGGTCAGGAGTTCAAGACCAGCCTGGCCAACATGGTGAAACCCCGTCTCTACTAAAAATACAAAATTAGCCCGGCGTTGTGGGCACCTGTAACCCCAGCTACTCAGGAGGCTGAGGCAGAGAATTGCTTGAACCCGGGAGGCAGAGGTTGTAGTGAGCTGAGATTGCACACTGCACTCTAGCCTGGGCAGTAGAGTAAGACTCCATCTCAAAAAAGATTTTTAAAAAAGGATTAAGCAGTGAAGTTTAGCAGCTTTCACTTCCACTTGGCTTTTGTGGGGAGAGGCTGTGGGTCCCTGAAGAAATTTTGCAACCTGTTCTTATGAATAACACTTTTGTTTTTCCTTTTAGTTAAGAAGAGTTTTATTGGCCAAAATAAATCATTCTTTGGTCCTTTGGAGCTGGTGGAGAAACTTTGTCCAGAAGCATCAGATATAGCGACTAGTGTCAGAAATCTTCCAGAATTAAAGTGAGTGAGAAGTAGTTCTGCCAATTTGATGATTTTAAAAACTCCCTCATATTTACTCATTTCTCAATTCCTTGCTGATGAAGCCCTTTCTAATTGGAAAGAGCTCTGCTGCTCATTATCCACATGATCTCTAGCAAGACTTGACTCTCTCTGAGCCTCAGTTTCCTTTTCTTTAAAATGGGGACAGTGATTCCTGCTTGCCACACAGGCCAAATAGGTTGAAAAGGTGTTGTCAACCAAAGGGCACTCACAGGAGGAAAAGGAACTACTGGTACACTCCTGGAATCACTGCTTCAGACACAGGTGGGCAGTTTTCTGAATAATACATTTTGGGCCAGATTGTAGATTCCAGGCCCAAGGACATTTGTAATTTGTTAGGGTGGGACTAACGAATTATTTGCCATGTCTGGATTTGTCCTTGGGATCGCTATGCTTAGGCTCAAAATCAAAAACAGTCCAGAACACAAATAAGTCATCTTCATGGAATTTGGCATCTAGAAAGGGTCTTAGGGATCCTTGAGCCAATGCAAAAGAACCCTCTGCAGAGTTTCCCAGACGGGACTGGACTGTTGAGCGTTTATTTGACCCTTCTCCTAGGGAGCCTGCCTATTCCATTTTCAGATAATAATAATAATAGCCACTGCCCTCAGGACCTGCTCAATGACAGGCATTGTGCTGAGAACATTCCTTCTCATTTATCTCATTTAATCCTCCACAGCCATCCTCTAGGATAGCTGTTAGTGTCCTCATCTACAAGTGTGGGAACTGAGACTTAGAGTGGTTGAGTAACTTGCCCGAGGTGCCTTGGCAGGTGAGTGATGGAGCAGGAAGAGGACACAGGTCTGTTATGCCTTGAAGCCCTCCAAATCCCATGAAACTCCATTGCTGCCAAGCCCTGTGCATTCTTCTCAAGATTAGATTTAAGCCCTCTATGCAAATTCTGCCTGCCCGGCCTACATCGCTTATATTTAAAGCCTTTTGCACCTGCCAAGCTTTCAAATGTTTATTTCATGACCTTTTTTTTTTTGAGAAGGAGTCTCACTCTTGCCCAGGCTGGAGTGCAGTGGCACAATCTCAGCTCTCTGCAACCTCCGCTTCCTAGGTTCAAGCGATTCTCATGCCTCAGCCTCCTGAGTAGCTGGGATTACAGGCACGTGCCACCACACCCAGTTAATTTTTGTATTTTTTGTAGAGACAGGGTGTTGCCATGTTGGCCAGGCTAGTCTCAAACTCCTGACCACAGGTAATCCACCTGCCTCGGTCTTCCAAAGTGCTGGGATTACAGGCGTGAGCCACCACACCCGGCCTTAATGACCTTTTTCATGAGCCTCTCAAGTCTACTGCCCTGCGTCTTCAGTTGTTCTTTATATGGTACAATTTCTCATACCCTTCCTGTCCAGCTCACTCACTCCCTCAAGAGTAAAGCACCTACACAGACGGCGTCCTGATGTTTTCTTTTTTTTTTTTTTTTTGAGATAGAGTTTCGCTCTTGTTGCCCAGGCTGGAATGCAGTGGCGTGATCTCGGCTCACTGCTACCTCCACCCCCTGGGTTCCAGCGATTCTCCTGCCTCTGCCTCCCAAGTAGCTGGGATTACAGGTGCCTGCCACCAGGCCCAGGTAATTTTTGTATCTTTAGTAGAGATGGGGTTTCACCACATTGGCCAGGCTGGTCTCCAACTCCTGACCTCAGGTGATCCATCTGCCTCAGCCTCCCAAAGTGCTGGGATTATAGGTGTGAACCACTGTGCCTGGCTGTTTTTTTTTTTTTTTTTTTTTAAGACAGTCTCTCTGTCGCCTAGGCTGGAGTGCAGTGGTGGTGCAGTCTCTCAGCTCACTGTAAGCTCCACCTCCCAGGCTCAAGTGATCTTTCCCACCTCAGCCTCCCAAATAGCTGGGACTATAGGCTGAGGCAGGAGAATTGCCTGAACCCAGGAGGTGGAGGTTGCAGTGAGCAGAGATCACGCCACCACTCCTGCCTGGATGACAGAGTGAAGTGAGACTCCATCTCAAAAAAAAAAAGAAAAAAAAATCATCTGCACTTTGACCCAGCAATTCCCCTTACATACATTTTATCCTACACATGTAACACATGAAAATGACACATGTACAGAATGATCTATTGCAGTCGTTATTGGTAACAGGAGATTAGAACCACCCTAGTTTTTTTTAACCCAGCTAAATAAATTATGGTGCTGTCCAATAATGACACACTAAAGCTATAAAAAAAGTAAAGTCCTCTGTGTACTGATATGGAAAGATTTTCAAGATGACAGATACTCAGCGAAATAATCAGGTTGAGAACTGCATGTAAAATATGTTAAATTTTTTTGTAAAAAGAGAGAGAAAAATAATTTATATTTGGTACCTGTTTTCATGTGTAGAAACATGTTTCGGAAATGAACTTAAACAGAGGACACTATATTAGTGTATAGGGGAGGGGGATGGGAAGGTGGAGGACAAGGAGACAAGTATATGCCTTTTAATACTTTCTAGGTTTTCTTTTTTTTTTTTTTTTTTTTTTTTTTTGAGACAGAGTCTCACTCTATCGCCCAGCCCAGGCTGGAGTGCAGTGGCACAATCTCGACTCACTGCAGCCTCTGCCTCCCGGGTTCAAGCCATTCTCATGCCTCAGCTTCCTGAGTAGCTGGGATTATAGGCATGAGCCACCACACCCAGCTATTTTTTGCATTTTTAGTTGAGATGGGAGTTTAACGTGTTGGCCAGGCTAGTCTCAAACTCTTGACCTCAGGTGATCCACCCCACTTGGCCTCCCAAAGTGCTGGGATTACAGGTGTGAGCCACCACACCTGGCCTACTTTCTAGGTTTTAAACCAAGTGAAGATATTGCCCATTCAAAAAAAATTCAGCATTAAAGTGCATATACTGTTTTGTAGCCTTTTTTCCATTTATTCCACTTAATATTAGATTTTAAATCTCTTTGTGTATCGAATATTCATTTACAATATCATTTTTTAAATGGCCAAATAATATTCTGTTGTCTGTCTAATTTTGTTTAACCCCGCCTTGTGGCTGTCTTCAAATTCTTGTTACCACAAACCGTGATAATGATGAGGTGACCATCCCGAAACATACTTCTTTGTGTCCGTCTTCAGTTATTTCCCTAGGATATATTACTAAATGTAGAATTTTGGTAACCTGTTGTCATCAAATTGCCACTAGAAAGTTGCACAGTTGGCCAGGCACAGCAGCTCACGCCTATAATCCCAACACTTTGAGAGGCTGAGATGGGAAGAATGCTTGAGCCCAGGAGTTTGAAACCAGCCTGGACAATGTGGCAAAACCCCATCTCTACAAAAAAAAAAAATTAGTTGGGTGTGGTAGCACGTGCCTGCTGTCCCAGCTACTCCGGAGGCTTAACGCAGGGTTATCACTTGAGCCTGGGAGTTCCAGGCTGCAGGGAGCCATCATCATGCCATTCAACAGCATGGGCGACTGAGCAAGACCCTGTCTCCAAAAAAAAAAAGAAAGTTGTGAAGTTTACAGTCTCACCAAGCAGCACTTGAGAGGCCTTTTTTCTTTTAATGTTTAATGCAGGCCTGTTCTTTCTTTCTTTCCTTTTCCTTTTTTCTTTTCTTTTCTCTTCTTTTCTTTCTTTTCTGCTTCTCTGGAGATAATGCTAGAATACAGAAAAATTACACCTTCAAGATTGGGGCCAGGCCTGTAATCCCAGCACTTTAGGAGGCCAAGGTGGGTGGATTACTTGAGGTCAAGAGTTTGAGACTAGCCTGGCCAACATGGTGGAAACCCCATCTCTACTAAAAATACAAAAATTAGCTGGGCGTGGTGGCAGGTGCCTGTAATCCCAGCTACTCGGGAGGCTGAGGCAGGAGAATCACTTGAACCTGCGAGGTGGAGGATGCAGTGAGCCAAGATCACAACGGTGAGCCAAGATTGTGCCACTGCACTCTAACCTGGGTGACAGAGTGAGGCTCCATCTCGAAAAAAAAAAAAAAAAAGATTGGTTCCACAACATTGTGAATGTACTTAACACTACTTAACTGTAAGATTAAAAATGGTTAACATGGTAAATTTTATGTTCTGTGTATCTTACCACAATTAATAATAAAACATAAAATTATACCTTTAAGGCCAGGTGCAGTGGCTCATGCCTGTAATCCCAGCACTTTGCGAGGCCAAGGCAGCCTGATCACTTGAGGCCAGGAATTTGAGACCAGCTTGGCTAACATGGCAAAACCCTGTCTCTACTAAAAACAAAAATTAGCCAGGTGTGGTGATGCATGCCTGTAATCCCAGCTACTCAGGAGGCTGAGCCATGAGAATCGCTTGAACCCAGGAGGCGGAGGTTGCAATGAGCTGAGATTGCACCACTGCACTCCAGCCTGGGCAACAGGCAAGACTCTATCTCAAAAAAAAATAAAAAATAAAAAATAAAAAGTACGTTTGAGCTAACCCTAACCCCTTAGAGATTTTATAAGCTTCAGCACTTTAACAAGCACTAAGTTCTCTATTCGTCTTTTGAAGGAATGTTTATCCATTACACAAATCTAACCTGATATTTTCCTGTGATATTTTATGACTATAAGCAAAGCATTATCTAATTGTATTTGTAATAGTACTCAAAGGTATGTGGTGAGCCATTTTCGCTGCCTGCCCAGGCCATGTGCATCCCTCCCCAACCCCAAACAGCCATTCTTAGAGTATCGTCTGCATTTACAAGGGTGTGTTTCCTATGTGTCTCCCTGGCTAAATCAGGTGTCTTTTCTGTGTTTGTTGTTGTTATGCCACAATAGTTGATTCTCTGTTTGAATTCTAGGACAGCTGTGGGAAGAGGCCGAGCGTGGCTTTATCTTGCACTCATGCAAAAGAAACTGGCAGATTATCTGAAAGTGCTTATAGACAATAAACATCTCTTAAGGTATTTCATCAACCATGTTTGCTTATCTTTTGCTTGGTAAATAATTAGAACATAGGCTGGGTGCGGTGGCTCACACCTGTAATCCCAGCACTTTGGGAGGCCAAGATCAGGTGGATTGCTTGAGGTCCGGAGTTCAAGACCAGCCTGGCCAACATGGTGTCGTATTTTTAGTAGAGACTAAAAATACGAAAATTAGCCAGGTGTGGTGGCAGGTGCCTGTAATCCCAGCTACTCAGAAGGCTGAGGCAGGAGAATCGCTCGAACCCGCGAGGCGGAGGTTGCAGTGAGCCGAGATCACGCCACTGCACTCCAGCCTGGGCGACAGAGTGAGACTCCTTCTCAAAAAAATAATAATTAGAACATAGTTCTGTAGATCATTTTGAATTAAAATAAGTGTATCAGCCAGGTGTGGTGGCTCATGCCTGTAATCCCAGCACTTTGGGAGGCCAAGGCAGGCTGATCACTTGAGGTCAGAAGTTCAAAAACAACCTGGACAACATGGTAAAACCCCATCTCTGCTAAAAATACTAAATTAGCTGGGCATGGTGGCATATGCCTATAATCCCAGCTACTCAGGACGCTGAGGCAGGAGGATTGCTTGAACCCAGGAAAGCAGAGGTTGCAGTGAGCCAAGATCACACCACTGTACCTCCAGCCTGGGCAACAGAGCAAGACTCTGTCTCAAAATAAAAAATAAAAAAATAAGTATATAATATTTACAGAAATTTATGACTGGTTCATTTTTTATATTTATAAGTAAGCAATAATCATTATAAAAGGAATGTTCTCTAGACTGTGATGATTTACGAGGAAGGACTCTTTCCAGAGTTAAAGCTTTCTTGTAATTGAGAAATAGATACATTTTACAGCATAGCCTAAAACCCAAGCCTTTCAGTGTTTTCAAGTCATGGCTCATTGTCGAACATATCTTTACACGACAAATACTGATTTACAATATTTCACATACTCTGAGTAGTTACACTGAGTAACTTTGAGTTACAGATTTTCTTCTAATGAACAAAGTATTTTTCAATTTTTTATTTATAATCGATACAAAATTATACATATTTATGGGATACTATGCATGTATACACTATGTAATGATGAAATCAGGGTAATTACCATATCCCTCACTTTACTAATGAACTAATTCTTAAGAGAAAAGTCTTATACGCACACACACACAGTGGCCTGGATGCCACTGGATTTGGTACATTAGCAAGTCATTGCTGACCAGAGCAATATCAGGCAGGGGATGGACCACCCCCTGCAAATGGCCGCGATAACTGGGCAATAAAGGAAGTAAAGCAACAGATGTTGCTCCGTGGGACGCAAGAAGGAGGAGTGTTATTCTTGGATGTGGGATCCCATTTCCTGTTTATATCAGCATAAGTGGAGAAGTAATTCATATCAACACAGAACAGGAGCCAGTGGAGACACAGGAGGGGAGAGTGACAGGAGTCAAGAGGAGACGAGGAGAACTGGGGTCCAGGGTCTGCATGGAGGAGTTAACTTTAGACAGGAGGAGAGGCGAGCCCATTCTAAGCCACAGGAAGAGAGGAGAGGACGGGAGAAAAAGCAGCCGTTGAAGCAGTGAAGAGAAATGAAAGGGAGGGAGGAAATCCACAGCAGTATCTTCTGGCTCCAGGGCACAGGTGAAAAGGCAGTTCAGGGTGGGGAAGGAGTGGGGATGGTGAAGCTGTTTCTGAGCATCGCCCTGTCCTGTCCATCTCTTTCAGCGAGTTCTATGAGCCTGAGGCTTTAATGATGGAGGAAGAAGGGATGGTGATTGTTGGTCTGCTGGTGGGACTCAATGTTCTCGATGCCAATCTCTGCTTGAAAGGAGAAGACTTGGATTCTCAGGTAAAATGAAATTTTGGCTCTAGATGAACACTTTCGTTAGTCCAGGGACTTTACATAGGATCTGCAAACAGGTACTGAACCCAAAGAAGGGCAAATGGCAAAGAGCCCACTGGTAGAGGACCCCAGGGATGCAGCTGGGGAAGGTCTCGGAAGGGTGAAGAAGTTGCATAGCCAGAGGTACACACGGAAAGCTTGGCAGGTTTGGGAACAGGCAGACAGCTCTCCATGGCTGGAGTAGAGGATGCTCTGTGGGCGAGGTGAAAGTGGAGGCTGGGCCTGATAGTTAGGCCATTGGTGCTATGCTGAAGGGTGTAGCTTTTTTGTTGTTGTTTTTTTTGAGACGGAGTCTCGTTGTGTCTCCCAGGCTGGAGTGCAGTGGCGCGATCTCGGCTCCCTGCAACCTCCGCCTCCCGGGTTCACACCATTCTCCTGCCTCAGCCTCCCGAGTAGCTGGGACCACAGGTGCCCGCCACCACGCCCAGCTAATTTTTTGTATTTTTAATAGAGACGGGGTTTCACCGTGTTAGCCAGGATGGTTTCGATCTCCTGACCTCGTGATCCGCCCACCTCGGCCTCCCAAAGTGCTGGGATTACAGGCGTGAGCCACTGCGCCCGGCCTGTATTTTTTTTTTTTAGTAGAGATGGTGTTTCACCATGTTAGCCAGGATGGTCTCAATCTCCTGACCTCGTGATCCACCCGCCTCGGCCTCCCAAAGTGCTGGGATTACAGGTGTGAGCCACTGTGCCTTGCCTGAAGGGTATAGCTTTTATCCCCTTTTATCCTGAGCTTTGGGGAGCTGTTGGAGGTTTTTAAAAAGTACACTGAAATGATCATGCCTGGATTTGAGAAAGCTCAATCTAGCAGCCATTCAGGTTATGAGTTGGAAGTGGCCAAGAATAGATACAGCAAAAGCCTTGAGGAGACTAGTCTAGAAGTCCTGCAAGCCTGGATGGGGAGTAGGAAGATAGAGTCAGGAGAGATTTGGGAAGTCAGGTTGATAAAATGGCACAAAGGAGAGTAACCAGTAAGGTGTAGAGTGCTCTGTGGGAAGGACAGCCCTCTTGGGATGGGCTTTCTTCCTGCATAGGAGCTGGTGACCAGAGCCAAGGCCTAAACTCCTGGTGGCAGGGACTGTAAATGTGTGAGGGGAATAGGTACCCTAACCCATTCCTCACTTCCACCCCCTCTTCGGGGCATCCGCAGCTGTAGCTGGGCCACTGCCCAGAAAAAAGAGATTATTTTACACTACCTAGCAAAATTCCCAGCCTTTTTCCTGCATTGTGTTTGGTGAATCTAAAGATTCCCTGATCCCTCCATGTGCAGGTCAGTGTTTTTTTATAACCTCTCCTCCCTTTAAAAAAAAAAAAAGTTCGATTGTCTTTGCATGTTGAAAAATATCTTTTTTTGAATTCAGAGAAGTATTTTTGAAAAGACACTAAACATCACACATATTCTCATTACTCTTAGACCGATAATTCAGTGTTACATTCTGGTATACACCCTTCTAGCAGATGAATAAAGGTGTGTGCATGCATGTGTGTGTGTATATGTTTGTGTATTTTAGAGTGAGATGTTCGAAGGGTTTCTTTTTTTATGAAACCAAACTATGATTATTTTAAGCACACCATTTTGTAATTTTAAAAAATTTAACAATATGTTCCACACAGTTCTCAATAACGAGAGATATAAACCATTTAAAATGACTATGTAGTATTTCATTTTTTAACGTACAATTATGTAACCAGTACCTTATTAATTTAGATTGTTTCCATATTGTGACAATACTATTGCTGGGCACATGGCTCACGCCTGTAATTCCAACACTTTGGGAGGCCAAGGTAGGAGGATCACTGGAGCCCAGGAATTTGAGACCAGCCCGGGCAAAATAGTGAGACCTTGTCTCTACCAAAAATTTAAAAAAATTAGCCGAGCATGGTGGCATGCTGTCTGTCATCCCAGCTACTCTGGAGGCTGAGGTGGGAGGATTGCTTGAGCCTGGGAGATCAAGGCTGCAGTGAGCTCTAATCATGCCACTGCATTGCACTCCAGTCTGGGCAACAGAGCCAGACTCTGTCTGGAAAAAAAAAAAAAAAACACCAATATTATAGACATCCTTGAAGTTCTCTGTACTCTTGTCCGTGTATTTCCTTAGGATAAATTTGGGGTTGTTGTGTCAAAGTATACAGGCTACATTTTGCTAGATAACATAAAACGGACCTCCAGAAAGGTCTTCATTATATACACCCACCAGCAGTGTGGGAGAGAACACATTTCCTCCTGACACTGGATGTGATGAGCATTCTCAGTCTTTTTCAGCCTCATGGACAAAACAACTCATTATCTCAAATTTACAAGTATTTTCCTGTTTTATTTGCCATTGGTGGTTCAGCATTTGTGATTATCTTTTCATATTCTTTGTCCATTTTTGAGTTTTCTTTCTCTACTTCTTTATTAAAGACTAAGCACATTGACCCTTTTTCAGAATTATTTGTTATAAATTTTTTTTCTGGTTTCTCAGTGGTGGTTTGCCCTGTAAGTTTTTTATTTTTAGTTTTTGGCAACCAGATTTAGCAGATGTTTCCTTTATACCTTCTAAGGTATTGTGCTTTGAAGGTCCTTCCCTATCTAAACATTACCCTAACTTTTAATATCAAATGTGGGGAGCTGGAACCTGAGTCCACGCGTCTGGTTGTCAGTCTGTCCAGCCTTTACCGCCACAGCTTTCAGTCATGGCTTCCAGTCAGTCGCAGCTCGGAAAGCCAGCCCCTGACTTCAAGGCCATTGCCCTGGTGGATGGCGCCTTCCAGGAGGTGAAGCTGTGGGCTACAAAGGGAAGTACGTCGTCCTCTTTTTCTACCCTCTGGACTTCACTTTTCTGTGGCCCATGGAGAACGTCGCATTCAGCGACCATGCCGAGGATTTCCGCAAGCTGGGCTGCGAAGTGCTGGGTGTCTGGGTGGACTTAGTTCACCCACCTGGCTTGGATCAACAACCCCCAGAAGTAGGGAGGCTTAGGCCCCCGAGCATCCCCCACCCGCTGATGTGACGGGAAGCTTGTCTGAAGATTACTGTGTGCTGAAAACCAATGAGGGCATTGCCTACCCTGCCTCTTTATCATCGATGGCAAGGGTGACTTTTGCCAGATCACTGTTAATGATTTGCCTCTGGGGTGCTCCATGGATGAGGCTCTGCAGCTGGTCCAGGCATTCCAGTACGCAGATGAGCACGGGAAAGTTTGTCCCACTGGCTGGAAGCCTGGTAGCGACAATGAAGCCCAATGTGGATGACAAGGAATACTTCTTCAAACACAACTAGGCTGGCCGATGGATAGTGAGCTTGTGCCCCTACTGGGTACCCTGTGCTAACCCAGGAAAGGCCAGACCTGCCCCTCCAATCTCCACAGTCTGGGACCCTGGAGGGCCAGGCCAAGACCTTCTGCTTCTACCTGGGTAATTTTTTACACACTTTATGTGTAAAAAATGTGTAAATTTTACACATTTTTGCCATTTGTTTTGGCATAGTGTGAAGTAGGAATCTAAATTTCTTTTACAAATAGTTAACCAGTTTTTGCAATATCATCATGTAATATATTTTTTCTACTAATTTGAAATTCCACTTTTATCATATGTGAAATATCCATAATATGCATTGGTTTATTTCTGGACTCTTCTGTTGTAAATCTGAATCTGTGTTCCTATGCCAGTGACACATTCTTTTAATGACTGGAGCCAGATAGTATATTCTAGACTCTGGTAGTTAAGCGCCTGCCTACTCTGCTGTACTTCTGTTTCAAATATTTCTGGGCCATCCATTCTGCCAGATGAACTTGAACATCGTTTTGTCAAATTCCAGAATAAAAACTCCATTGAGATTTTAATTAATTAATAGACATGAGTGAGCAATCTGGTCTAGTGCTATCTTGAATGGCAGTGCCTATAGTGTGTTCTTCAAACACACTATAGTATACATAATCATATACATAATAGTATACATAAAGTATACATGTTTGCTGCTGATGTCTGAGGGATGCGGTTTCTCACGTTTAGAGAGTGCTTTCCACTCCAGTTTACCTTGTGTTTTGTTGTTGTTGTCGTTTTGTTTTTTTCTTTTTTTTGAGATGGAGTCTTACTCTGTCGCCCAGGTTGAAGTGCAGTGGCATAATCTCCACTCACTGCAACCTCCGCCTCCTGGGTTCAAGTGATTCTCCTGCCTCAGCCTCCTGAGTAGTTGGGATTGCAGGTGCCTGCCACCATGCCCGGCTAATTTTTTGTATTTTTAGTAGAGATGGGGTTTCACTATGTTGGCCAGGCTGGTCTTGAACTCCTGACATCGTGATCTGCCCACTTTGGCCTCCCAAAGTGCTGGGATTACAGGCGTGAGCCACCGTGCCCGGCCTACTTTGTGATTTTTTAAGAGATGAATGTTGAATGTTGTCAGATACTTTTTTTGGATCTATCAACATGTCAACCTGCTTTTAACCCATAAATATAATTGAACTAATTCATAGGTTTCTTATTGAATACTATCCCTGAATTTCTAAAATAATCCCTACCTGATCATTGTAAACCCTGGATTTGATATGTTTACTGTTTGGAATTTTTGTGTCTCTGCTTGTAAGTGAAACTATTCTGAATTTTCTATACTGCCTTTGCCACCTTTCCGTGTCAGAATTGTATTAGCCTCATAAACTGGAAGGCCGGGCGTGGTGGCTCACACTCCCAGCACTTTGGGAGGCCGAAGTGGACAGATCATGAGGTCAGGAGGTTGAGACCGCCCTGACCAACATGGTGAAACCTGGTCTCTACCAAAAATACAACAATTAGCTGGGCGTGGTGGCGTGTGCCTGTAATCCCGGTTACCCAGGAGGCTGAGGCAGGAGAATCGCTGGAACCTGGGAGGCAGAGGCTGCAGTGAGCTGAGACCGTGCCACTGCACTCCACTCTGGGCAACAGAGCAAAACTCCGTCTCAAAAAAAATAAACATAAAAATAAAATAAACTGGAAAATAGCCTTCCTTTTCTTGTTTTCTACCGCAGCTTATTAGATCAGGAATTATTTTTTCTGTGCAGGCTTGCTAGAACTTACTGGTATGACCACTTCACCCTTATGCCTTTTTTGGTCTTTGTTCTTTGACCACTTTAACTTTTAGCATAGTTTTGATCAATTTATTGGTTTCCTAAGTCTTAAGACAATTTTTAAAGTCATTTATAATTTTTTTAGAAACCATTTCATTCAGCTCTACTAAGCTAGAGTTGTATGAAAGTATTCTCTTACAGCTTTTGAAAAATCTCACTGTTCTCATTTATAATGTGTATTTGCTAAATATTGATCACACTTAGTAGAAATTTGTCTACTTGGTTGAACTTTGACAAACCAGCTGTCTTATTTATCAATTCTACTTTGGGAGTAGGGCTTTATTTGCTTTCTAATCCATTGATTTTTGCTTTGGGTATTAATTCTTTCTCATCTTTCTGTTGCTTTTTCCTGGCTGTATTTTTTTATGATTTGGTTTTTTATTATAAAAGAAATGCTTGCTTGTTGAAAAAAGTTAGGCAATACCAAAGTATATAATGTGAAAAGAGAAGTTGAACCTCCTCTTCTCACCCCACCCCCCGCCCCAGCCGCAGTCCTCCTCCCTTTCCCACAGGTGATGGTAAAGATTCTGGGGAAAATTTTTCTAGAAGCTTTTCTACTTTTTCTATACATTTATGTTCACGTAGGTTTTGTTTTAAATTAAATATTTTCTGGTCTTCTATTACTGTGTAACAAGTCAGCAACAGCACTTAAACAATAACAATCACTGTATCTTTCACAGCTGGGGGCTAACTGGGTTCAGCTAGTCGGTTCTTGTTCAAGAGCGCACGTGCTTACAGTCAGGTGATGGCTGGGGCTGAAATCACCTGAAGACTTGCTCTCTCCTCGTCTGTCTGCTGTGCTGAGAAGACCAAGGAACTGGGGGCTGGAATGGCAGGGGTTTCTTGGACATCTCCATGTTTACATGGTCTCCAGCATTGTGGCTTCAGGGAAGTCAAGACTTTTTACATGAAAGCTCAGAACTTCAAACGCATATGCCTCAAGAGAAAGAGCTGGGTGGAAGCTGTATTGCCCTTTTTAACCTAGCTGCAGAAGTCACACGGCATCATTTCTACTGCATTTTACTCATCGAGACAGGCACTAAGACCCCCCAGAGTTGAAGGTTGGAAATATGGATGGATTCCTTTTGGTAGGTGTGTCAGAGAGGTTGCAGACATGTGTTAGAACCGTTACACATAGCCTTGGTTGCAACATAAGTAGGGTTACTATAATGAGATTGTACATATGATTCTTTGACTTGAAATTGTATCCTGGAGTTTTGTTGTTTTTTTTGTTTTGTTTTGGCAGTGTCTGACTCTGTCACCCAGGCTGGAGTGCAGTGGCATGATCTCAGCTCACTGCAGCCTTAACCTCCTGGGCTCAAGCAATCCTCTCACCTCAGCCTCCCAAGTAGCTGGGACTACAGGCATGTACCACTGCACCCAGCTAATGTTTGTATTTTTGTGGACACAGGGTCTCACTGTGTTGCCCAGGCTGGTCTTGAACTCCTGAGCCCAAGCCATCCACCCTCCTGAGACTCCCAAAGTGCTGAGATTACAGGCATGAGCCACCGTGCCCAGCTTTTCTATATTTCTGCAAATGTATCTACTGCGTTCTTTGTTATAGTTGCATAGGTTCTGTGATATGGCTGTAACATGATTGATTTCAACTTTTCTCTATTGATGAACATTTAGGGTACACCCAGTTTTCCTGTATTTCAGATAAGAATGACCTCACTTATTCATTCTCAAGTGCTTTATTTCTTGGCAAAGCCGTTGATGTTTAGATGTGTAAGGGGTCTTGGTTCTCCCTTGTACCTAAGGGATAGAGAATTTTCCTGAAATATTGATTAGACCATTTTACCAAGATTTGGGGGAAGAAGGACTCAGAAATGTCAGTTAAGGTCACCACTTTATTTTTATCTTATTTTATTTTATTTTGAGATGAAGTCTCGCTCTGTTGCCCAGGTTGGAGTGCAATGGCACGATCTCAGCTCACTGCAACTTCCGCCTCCCAGGTTCAAGCGATTCTCCTGCCTCAGCTTCCCGATTAGCTGGGATTACAGGCACCTGCCACCATGCCTGGCTAATTTTTGTGTTTTTAGTAGAGACAGGGTTTCACCATGCTGGCCAGGCTGGTTTCGAACTCCTGACCTCAGGCAATCCACCAGCCTCGGCCTCCCAAAGTGCTGGGATTACAGGCGTGAGCCACCACGCCTGGCCAGGTCACCACTTTAGAGATCCAGAACTTTTTATTATTATTATTAATTACTTTGTACACAAATAATTTTGTTGATCTTTGTAAATAATGTGATTATTGAATAAACAGAAAACTAAACTAGGTCGTGAAATTTCAGAATAGTCTCTGAAATCTGATATCTAGTAAGTTTTTCTTCTAGAAGGTGGTAGGGTTAGGTTTTTTTGGTTTGTTCAATTGATTTCCACTTCATAGAGCTGGCTGACCTAAATAAATGTTCATAGGAAAGAGATAAGAATGAAATACCTGAATTTCAAAGGTTGTAAAGTTTATGAAAAATAGGACATTTTATTTAAACTTGTGCATTTTATTTCGTTTAGGTTGGAGTAATAGATTTTTCCCTCTACCTTAAGGATGTGCAGGATCTTGATGGTGGCAAGGAGTAAGTACTGCGTTGTATGTCACTTTTTTTTTTTTTTTTTTTTTTTTTTTTTTGAGACAGAATCTGGCTTTGTCGCCCAGGCTGGAGTCCAGTGGCACAGTCTTGGCTCACTGCAACCTCCGCCTCCCGGGTTCAAGCGATTCTTCTGCCTCAGCCTCCTGAGTAGCTGGGACTACAGGTGCGCCCCACCATGCCCAGCTAATTTTTGTGTTTTTAGAGACGGGGTTTCACCATATTGGCCAGGCTGATCTCGAACTCCTGACCGTGATCGGCCCGTCTCGGCCTCCCAAAGTGCTGGGATTACAGGCGTGACCCACCGCGCCCAGCCACGTCACATTTTTAATAAAATTCTGGCAAAGGCGGGTCTTTGGGGCTAGCGGAGGGCCGGGTCTCCGGACGGAAATTGCCGAAGACTAGCGGAGGCTCCGAGGCCGGGCGTGGTGGGGCTGGAGGGGAGGGCGGGGGTGGGGAGTTTCGGCCGAAAGAGCAAATCCGGGGCTGGAGGGGAGGGCGGGGGTGGGGAGTTTCAGCCGAAAGAGCAAATCCGGGTTGGACTGTGTGATTGGGCCCGGTGGTGTGGGCAGGGCAGGTTAGGTGTGTCCGCTCCTTTCACACTCACCGGTGGTCGGGCGGCGGAGGCGGTGGGAGCGCCGGAGTTGGATGTGCGCACATCGGGTGGTGTCCCCCGCCTGCCGAACGGGTAATGAGGCTCTTCTCTGCAGCAAAAAAAAAAAAAAAAAAAAATTCTGGCAAAGAACACTTTTCTTGTTTTTGCTTTGAGATTTTCTGTTTTGTTTAGTTATTTTTAAATACAGAAGCAGTGCATTATTCTCATTGTTTAAGGAATTTGGCTCTGCAGAAGAATAGAGTGTACAGGTGAAATTTCCCCATTCACACTGTCCCCTTGCCTCCATGTCAATCTCATTCCTCCCCTCAAAGGAAGACTGTTTAATGCCTTACAGGTATTTGTTGATCGTCTATTTTGCTTTACCATTGGTCAAATATAAATGGGATAGTATTATATAAGTTGCCCTTGGACTTGTTCTGTAATCATAGTGTTTTAGATTTGTTTGTTTGTTTTGTTTTGTTTTGTTTGAGATGGATTCTCGCTCTGTCGCCCAGGCTGGAGTGCAGTGGTGCAATCTCGGCTCACTGCAACCTCCGCCTCCCCGGTTCAAGCGATTCTTCTGCCTCAGCCTCCCGAGTAGCAGGGATAACAGGCGTTCCCCATCATGCCTGGCTAATTTTTTTTTTTTATTTTTAGTAGAGACCGGGTTTCACCATATTGGCCAGGCTGGTCTTGAACTCCTGGCCTCAGGTGATCCACCTGCGTCGGCCTCCCAAAGTGCTGGGATTACAGGCGTGAGCCACCGCGCCCAGTCTAGTATCTTTTTATGCCATTATGAAGCTCTCCCTCACCCTTGTTAACAAGGGTATTCTTTTATAATCAGTTACCCAAGGGAAAAAAACAATGTATAACATACTACCATTTATGTTGTTTGTTTGTTTGTTTGTTTGTTTTTGGAGACCGAGTTTCGCTCTTGTTGACCAGGCTAGAGTGCAGTGGCACGATCTTGGCTCACCGAAACCTCCACCTCCCAGGTTCAAGCGATTCTCCTGCCTCAACCTTCCTGAGTAGCTGGGATCACAGACATGTGCCACCATGCCTGGCTAATTTTGTATTTTTAGTGGAGATGGAGTTTCTCCATGTTGGTCAGGCTGATCTCGAACTTCCAACCTCAGATGATCCGCCTGCCTCAGCCTCCCAAAGTGCTAGGATTACAGGCGTGAGCCACCGCTCCCGGCCCCATTTATGTTATAATAAAAAAGGATATGCATACATATGTTTTACTTTCATATGTATGCATGGAACATTTCTAGAGTGGCGTATCAACCTTATAGTAGTGATTGCCTGTGGAGGCAGTCATGGGAGGGGGTTTTCACTGTAAACCTTGGGATCGCGTTTGAATATTTCACCTTGCGCATATGTTACCTGCCCTTCCATGTCTTCCTGAGGACTCTCACGGTCTGAGTGCCTGGCAGTGCACCTTACCAAAGAATGGACCAGCAAGAACCACACTAAAGCTTCATGCATCCTAAGTACAAGGGCTCACCCACTTGAAATTTAAACAAAATATATTCTTTTATTTCATATCAGGCCAAATACGTCAGAGGAACAAAATATATTCTTTTTTCTTTTTTTTTGAGACAGTTTTGTAGTTTCGCTCTTATTGCCCAGGCTGGAGTGTAGCGGCACTATCTGAGCGCACTGCAACCTCCGCCTCCCAGGTTCAAGCAATTCTCCTGCCTCAGCCTCCCAAGTAGCTGAGATTACAGGCGCCCGCCACCTCACCTGGCTAATTTTTTGTATTTTTAGTAGAGACGGGGTTTTGCCATGTTGGCCAGGCTGATCTCAAACTCCTGACCTCAACTGATCCATCTGCCTCAGCCTCCCAAAGTACTGGGATTACAGGCATGAGCCACTGTGCCTGGCCTAACAAAATATACCCTTTTCTTCTTCTTTTTTTTTTTTTTTTTTTTTTGAGATGGAATCTCTCCCTCTGTCGCCCAGGCTGGAGTGCAGTGGCACAATCTTGGCTCACTGCAACCTCTGCCTCCCGAGTTCAATCAGTTCTCCTCCTCAGCCTCCCTGAGTCGCTGGGACTGCAGGTGCATGCCACCACGCCCAGCTAATTTTTTGTGTGTATTTTTAGTAGAGACGAGGTTTCACCGTGTTGACCAGGCTGGTCTCAAACTCTTGGCCTCAGGTGATCTGCCCACCTCGGCCTCCCAAAGTGCTGGGATTACAGGTGTGTGCCACCACACCCAGCCACAGAATATACTTTTAATGTCAAAAGCTGAAAATAAACTGAGTATCTACCAGTCAGGAAATAATTGAATTAATTATGGAACATATGTAATATTCCACACTGTGGTATATTTTGCAGACGTAAGAAAGAATAAAGTGTATCTACTGGTATATTGAATGAGACTATACTATATTGAATGAGGAAAGTATGATGCTGAGGAGTACATATATCCCGTTTTTGTAAACAAATCAAAAAATTCCGTGTGTGTGTGTGTGTGTGTGTGTGTGTGTGTGTGTATATTTTTTTTTTTTTTTGAGACGGAGTCTCGCTCTGTCGCCCAGGCTGGAGTGCAGTGGCGCCATCTCGGCTCACTGCAAGCTCCGCCTCCCGGGTTCACGCCATTCTCCTGCCTCAGCCTCCCGAGGAGCTGGGACTACAGGCGCCCGCCACCACGCCCGGCTAATTTTTTGTATTTTTAGTAGAGACGGGGTTTCACCGTGTTAGCCAGGATGGTCTCCATCTCCTGACCTCGTGATCTGCCCACCTTGGCCTTCAAAAGTGCTGGGATTACAGGCGTGAGCCACCACGCCTGGCCAGTTTTTTTTGTTTTTTTTTTTTAATCCAAACTGGCCTAGACTTTAGACTGATGAGCTTCGTGTTTTGAAAAGTCCCGTGCGCTCCTTTCCTTCAGTAGTATAAGGGTTGTGTCGAGCCATTTGCGTGTGGCAAGTTGGTGTTTTCACCTTGCTTGCTCATCCTGAAACCTTGGTCTGCAGGGAGCCCACTCTCCTGGCAGCCTGGCCCTGGAGACGCTGACTACTGTGACCCAGGCTGGCTTTCTCTCTGTACTCTGGGATGTGGATGTTACTGAGCTCTGGCTGTCTCTTGGTTTCTTGAAGACATTGGTACTTCTACAAGGTGATTGGAATATTGGGGAACAGTTACAAAGTATTAACCATTAATAAAAAAAAGTTCTTCCTTCTTATGCTCCTTTTAAAAGGCATGAAAGAATTACTGATGTCCTTGATCAAAAAAATTATGTGGAAGAACTTAACCGGCACTTGAGGTAAGACTCCTTTTTTTTTCAATGTGACAGTTACATACTCGGTATCCTGTCATTGCTTCATGGAACTTCGAGTTGCCACGTATTTATAAATAACTTGTTTCCAAACCAAGACAAAAGGGTCATCATTCAGGCAACATTTATTTGTACAAACTGAAGAAGTATGATTTCTTCTTGATAAACTCTTGGGAAATCTTTATTCTGTGCTTTTTGCAGTTACATAATACACAGAAGTAACTACATTAAACCTTGACTCTCCATTCCTCGCCCCACAGCCACGTGGCTGGAAATCCCTTCATGGCAAGCACTGTTGCTGCTGGGAATCAGCACACAGCACCCAGTGCATTAGGCCAGGAAAAAAGAGTTGAAAACCACTGGGCTAGGCCCTCCAGAGCAATGTACTAGTGATCACCGGCATCTTTATCTTGATTTTTTTTTTTTTTTTTTTTTGCTGGAAATCTGTGGATGTGTTTCATGAAACACTAATCCTTGGAGGTATTTGTGGGGAATGTGGAGAGACATGTTATTCCCTTTCTGAGTCCCCTCTAGAGAGTACATTGCACATTACAGTTCTCCACAGTGGCCACCTCTCCGGCCCCAAAAGCCAGGTGAAGAAGCTGGCATGTTCCTCCCGGTGCAGTTACGGACACATTGCTCTGGGGCTGTTTTTACTTTTCTTTTTTTTTTTTTTGACAGGGTCTCACTCTGTTGCCCAGGCTGAAGTGTAGTGGCGTGATCTCAGATCACTGTAGCCTCGAATTCCCAGGCTCAGGCAATTGATTCTCCCACCTCAGCCTCCTAAGTAGCTGGGACTACAAGCACACGTCACCCCTCCTGGCTAATTTTTGTATTTTTTGTAGAGACAGTGCTCCGCCATGTTGCCCAGACTGGTCTCAAACTCCTGGGCTCAAGCAATCCTCCCACCTTAGCCACCCAAAGTGCTAGAATTACAGGCATGAGCCACCACACCCAGCCTGAGGCTCTTCTTAACTGTGATGTTGGCTATTTTTTGAAAGAGTTTTTTGGTCGATTACTAGTTTATTGAGAGTATTTATAAGAAATAGATATTAAATTTTAGAAAATACCTTTTAGTGTCCGTTAATGTAATCATGGTTTTCATCCCATAATCTACTGATGTGGTGTATTTTATTAATAGACTTCTTCATACTGGACCATTCCTGTATCACAGGAATAAACTCCACTTGATCATAATATTTTTTATTATGATTTTTTGAGACAAGGTCTTACTCTGTCACCCAGGCTGGAGTGCTGTGGTACAATCGTGGCTCACTGCAGCCTCCACCTCCCTGGGCTCCGGTGATTTGCCCACCTCAGCCTCCCAAGTAGCAGGAACTACAGGCATGCACCACTACACCTGGCTAATTTTTTGTATTTTTTGTAGAGACAGGGTCTCACTTTGTTGCCCAAGGTGGTCTCAAACTCTTGGCCTCAAGCAATCTTCCCTGGTTAGCCTCCCAACTGCTGGGTTATAGGCATGAGCCACCTCGCCCAGCCAGGATCATAGTTTTCATAATTCAATTATCCTTTTAACATGTAACCTGGTTGGGTGTGGTGGCTCACACCTGTAATCCCAACACTTTGGGAGGCCGACGTGGGTGGATTACCTGAGGTTGGGAGTTCGAGACCAACATGGGGAAACCCCATCTCTACTAAAAATACAAAATTAGGCAGGCGTGGTGGTGCGTGCCTGTAATCCCAGTTACTCGAGAGGCTGAGGCAGAAGAATCGCTTGGACCCGGGAGACGGAGGTTGCAGTGAGCCGAGATTGCACCATTGCACTCCAGCCTGGGCAACAAGAGCGAAACTCCATCTCAAAAATAAAAATAAAAATAAAAATAAACCTGACTTGCTGAAATTTTATAGTTTTCTTTCTCCGCCATCATATCAGGGTTATGTAGCATTGCAAAATGAATTAGTAAGCTTTTCCTTATGCCTGGGAACAGCTAGCTTCTAGATCATGGGCATTATTTGCCCCTTGTGAATATGAAGCAGCCAGGTGTGATGGCTCACGATTGTAATCCCAGCACTTTGGGAGGCCAAGGCAGATGGATTACCTGAGATCAGGAGTTCAAGATCAACCTGGCCAACATGGTGAAACCCCATCTCTACTAAAAATACAAAAATTAACCGGCATGGTGGCGGGCATCTGTAGTCCCAGCTGCTCGAGGCTGAGGCAAGAGAATCACTTGAACCTGGGAGGCAGAGGTTGTGGTGAGCTGAGATTGCGCCACTGCACTCCAGCCTGGGTGACAGAGTGAGACTCTGTCTCAAAAAAAAATTTATGAAGCTGAAAGCATTTATGAGGCAATACGTTGCTAGCTTTTCAGTTTTTACTTAGTTCATCTGGGTTTTCTTTTGAGGATATATCTTTTCTCATATAAATATATATATATATATATATTTTAAGACGGAGTTTTGCTCTGTCGCCCAGGCTGGAGTGCAGTAGCGCGATCTCGGCTCACTGCAAGCTCCGCCTCCCAGGTTCACGCCATTCTCCTGCCTCAGCCTCTCGAGTAGCTGGAACTACAGGCACCTGCCACCACACTTGGCTAATTTTTTGTATTTTTAGTAGAAACTGGGTTTCACTGTGTTAGCCAGGATGGTCTCGATCTCCTGACCACGTGATCCGCCCGCCTCGGCCTCCCAAAGTGCTGGGATTGCAGGTGTTGAGCCACTGTGCCCGGCCAGTCATTTATATTTTTATTTATTTTTATTTTTTATTTTATTTTATTTTTTTGAGACAGAGTCCTGCTCTGTCGCCCAGGCTGGAGTGCAGTGGCATGATCTCCGCTCACTGCAAGCTTCGCCTCCCAGGTTCACGCCATTCTCCTGCCTCAGCCTCCCAAGTAGCTGGGATTGCAGGCGCCCACCACCATGCCCAGCTAATTTTTTGTATTTTAGTAGAGACGGGGTTTCACCGTGTTAGCCAGGATGGTCTCGATCTCCTGACGTTGTGATCCGCCCGCCTCGGCCTCCCAAAGTGCTGGGATTACAGGCGTGAGCCACCACGTCAGGCCTATATTTTTAAGAAAAATATACAATTGGGGGGTATTTTCTAAATTATCAAGTTGGCACAGAATTGACAATTGTATACTCTTAAAACTTTCCATTCCCTCTGTATCTTTTGGTTTTTTTCCCTTTTTCATTTTGTGTCTTTGTATTTTTATATTTGTCCCCCGGTTCCTAAGCCTTGGTTCATTAGCCTTGCTAAGTTTATTTCTTTGTCCCCCACTCACTGGCAACAGGGACTGGTCTTTGGCAGCATGACCTGTTGCCCAGAAGTACAGGCTCTAGAGCCAGATTCCCTGGGTTCAGATGCCAGCACCCCTTTGTAGATATGTGAACTTGAGTGAATTCTTTTATATAAAATTATGGCTGCCTTGTCTGTAAAATGGGCTAACAGTAGGATCTACCTCATTGAATTGTGGGGAAGATTAAATGAGTTGATGCATTTAAAGTGCTTAGAGGCCAGGTGTGGAAGCTCATGCCAGTAATCTCAGCAGTTTGGGAGGCTGGGGCAGGAGGAGGATCACCTGAGCCCAGGAGTTCAAGATCAGTCTGGGTGACATAGTGAAACCTCACCTCTACAAAAAAATACAAAAATTAGCTGGGCCTGGTGGCAAGGTGGGAGGCCAAGGTGGGAGGATCATGAGCCTTGGAGGTTGAGGCTACAGTGAGCCATGATCACACCACTGCACTCCAGCCTGGGCGACAGAGCAAGACCCTGTTTCAAAAACAAAAAAAAACAAAAAAAAGTAGTACATGTTATTAAATAATATTTTTTAAATGGGGAAGGTGTAAAAGGGATTTAAAAACACCTTGGGACCGGGCGCAGTGGCTCACGCCTGTGATCCCAGCACTTTGGGAGGCCGAAGCAGGCAGATCACGAGGTCAGGAGATTGAGACCATCCTGGCTAACACAGTGAAACCCCGTCTCTACTAAAAATACAATTAGCCGAGCATGTTGACGGGCGCCTGTGGTCCCAGCTATTTGGGAGGCTGAGGCAGGAGAATCACCTGAACCCAGGAGGTGGAGGTTCCAGTGAGTTGAGCTCGCGCCACTGCACTCCAGACTAGGCGAAAGAGTAAGACTCTGTCTCAAAACAAACAAACAAAAAACACCTTGGATCCTTCTACCCAAAAATACTAATACCTTGTTAATGAATTTTACTTTAGGTATATGACTGCCAACACATTTTGGTTTCTATCACCATTTGTGTTGGGAGAAAAAAATTCTCTTTCCAGATGACTAAAAAAGAAATAGGCCGGGCACAGTGGTTCATGCCTGTAGTCCCAGCACTTTGGAAGGCCAGGGTGGGCAGCCTCACCTGAGGTCAGGAGTTCGAGACCAGCCTGGCCAACATGGTGAAACCCTGTCTCTACTAAAAATACAAAAAAATTAGCCAGGTGCAGTGGCACGCACCTGTAGTCTAGGCTATTCGGGAGGCTGAGGCTGGAAAATCGCTTGAACCCGGGAGGCAGAGGTTGCAGTGAGCCAAGATCACTCCACTGCACTCTAGTCTGGGCGACAGAGCGAGACTTTGCCTCAAAATAAAAAAAGAAAGATTAAATTTTCGGGACAAAACTTATTGAAAAGTATGTTGCAAATGTATATTTAGAATTCTCATCTTCTCTGAGTTAATTGGAGACCCTCTGCCTTTCCATTTCATACAGGAAATCTAGGAATCTCTCTTACTGTTTACAGATTGAGAAAACAGTCAGCTTGTATAAGTTTATGTTTACTTAATATTCTTATTTTCTACAGCTGCACAGTTGGGGATCTTCAAACCAAGATAGATGGCTTGGAAAAGACTAACTCAAAGCTTCAAGAAGAGGTTTGTAAGTTTTATTGAAATTTTTAGACAAAACAGAATGACCCAAGGTTAAGAGAATCTGTGTAGTCGGTCTGCGATAGCAGAGCTTCCTGCTGGTAGGAAGGGGACTTGCTAGCCTCCAGCTACCCCACGTGGGACAGGAGAATGTCTGTGTTCTGCTCTGTCCGAGGCTCCCAGTGAGACACTGCAGCGGATCACGAGCCAGTTCTAAGTGACTTAGATTTTATCACCTCAAAGTCATCCCATAGAAGGAAATTGTTCTTTGGAAGAGCCCAGCTTGTGTTGTGGAAGTGCCGTGTCTTCCTCTTTTTCTGCCCTTCCCATGATGCCGTGTGCCTCCCTGCTGCCCCAGAAAGCACAGACTCTGTCATAAGGAATAAGTATCCAGCCCACCCCTTCTGCTTTGGCCTCAGGAGCATGCAACCAGCCTCCCCACAGTGCGGTCTTTCTCTGCTTTCTCACTAGGAAGAGAGAATGAAAGGACAGGACAAAGGAGGGCTGAGCCGAGGAAGAGAGCTTGCTGCCAGCTGCCCGGCAGTCTCCTTGCTGGACACATCTTGTCTCCTGTTAGCAGGAGGGGGGTGCTCAGCCCTTCTGAGGCTTTCCACAGGTAGCAGTCCCCGGCTGCCCAGGCCTCCCACCTAGAAGGACAAGGGCTCTGAGAGGGGCTTGAGAAGGAACACCTCCACGGCATGGAGGTGGGTTACAGCAGAGAAGAGAGCCTCAGAGCCCATCTCTGTAATGAGGGACCCCGTGTAAGCCTCCCTTAAAGCTGACTGCTCCCTCCTGAGGCGCCAGCCCTGAAAGGCCTTCAGGAAAGGAGCTCAGATTTGTGTGAGTAGAAGGAAATTCAAGACGGTGTCACAGATGGGGGTGTCATGGGAGAAGCTTCATGGAACTTAGGATTGGAGGCTTCACAGTCACCTTGGTAGGCAGGCCTTTGAGCCTCAGGTCAGGCAGGTCGGTGGTTGAGCCTCACTTTTGTCACCTCCAAATTAGGTAATAATACATCCTTTACTGTTGCAAAGATTAAGACGAATATCTGGTAAATGTGCTCAGGACAACACTTGCCACGTGGGAGCACTCGAGTTGTTTGATTTTAGAACAAGCAGATTCCCTGCATCTCAGTCAAGATGGCGTGCTTTGATGAAGCTCCAATTGAGCTTTTGAAACTAAGCAGAGTTATGTGGGGTTTTTCTGCTTTTTGAGACAGGGTCTCACTCTGTCACCCAGGCTGGAGTGCAGTGGCGCAGTCATAGCTTACTGTAACCTCAGACTTCTGGGCTCAAGAGACCCTCCTGCCTCAACCTCCCAGTAGCTGGGACTACAGGTACACACCACCAACACCCGGCTAATTTTTTAACTCTTTGTAGAGACGGGATCTCACTTTGTTGTTCAGGCTGGTCTCAAACTCCTGGGCTAAAGTGACCCACCCACCTTGGCCTCCCAAAGTGCTAGGATTACAGACATGAGTCACTGAGCCCAGCTTCGGTTATGTTTTCTTTTTTCTTTCTTTCTTTTTTTTTTTTTTTTGAGACAGAGTCTTGCTCTGTCTCCCAGGCTGGAGTGCAGTAGTGACGTGATCTCCGCTCACTGCAAGCTCCCAAGCTCCACCTCCCGGGTTCACGCCATTCTCCTGCCTCAGCCTCCCGAGTAGCTGGGACTACAGGCGCCCGCCACCACGCCCGGCTAAATTTTTTTTTTTTTTTTTTTTTTAGTAGAGATGGCATTTCACCATGTTAGCCAGGATGGTCTCAATCTCCTGACCTTGTGATCTGCCCACCTCGGCCTCCCAAAGTGCTGGGATTACAGGCATGAGCCACTGCACCCAGCCAGGTTATGTTTTCTTTAAAGGCAAATGATTGTAATAGAAAATGTGCTTCAGGCAGGTGTGGTGGCTCATGCCTGTAAATCCCAGCTCTTTGGGAGGCCAAGGTGGAAGACTTGCTTCAGCCCAGGAGTTTGAGACCAGCCTGGGCAACATGGCAACACCCTGTCTCTACAAAAAATTTAAAAGTTAGCTGTGGTGACACACACCTGTACTCCCAGCTACTCGGGAGGCTGAGGTGAGAGGATCACTTGAGCCTAGGAGTTGGAGGCTGCAGTGAGACAGAGTAACACCCTGTCTCAATTAAAAAAACAAAGAAATGTGCTTAATGAAAAGCGTAGCCCTCTTCAGGGTGTGCTCTCTGCATCTCCAGAGAGTGGAATGGGAATTAGCTTATGGTTTTTGCCTGCTTCTTCCCTTCGGGCAAGTAACACGCCCTTTCAAGCCTTGGTGTTTCTTTTTTTGGGCACAGCAGTTAATGTGTAGAAACCCCAGGCCTGGGTTCTGAGTCTAAGTGGAGAGGAATTCTCAGGGGGTGTAGACACTGTTGACAGAGAAAGTGAGGAGTTCAGTGCTTCGAGGTCCCTCCACTAGTGAATGATGCCGAGAGCCAGCCAAGCACCAAGGACAGAGATCTTGCTTCTTTCTCCCCAGCTGCACCTTCCTCTCTGCAAGCTGTGTGATGAGGCTGGAATGAGGAGGGATGGGTTGGTGTGTTTACTCATCTGCCTTGCCTCTTGTGACAGCCTCTCCTTAGGCAGGTCCTGGACAGCGTCCTGCTTCTCTATGCTTTTCCCTCAGCCATGAGAAGTCCTTCCAGGGGAATAAGAGGTCCTCTTGGGCATATCTTCAATGATTTGTTTTTTATTCCTCCCTGCAAATTCTTTAATTCTCCCTCTAGTGATTTAAATATACTTTTACCGATCATTAGCTGGAAAAACTGGAAAGAAAGAAGAGTCAGGAAAAAAGCCCATAACCCCTTTACTAAGTGACAACTATTCTTGTCATTTTATTATTTGATTTGTATTGTTCCCAACTTTTCTTTTTTCTTTTTTGAGACAGGCTGTGGCTTTGTCACCCAGGCTGGAGTGCGGTGGCATGATCTCAGCTCACTGCAACCTCCGCCTCCTGGGCTCAAGCCATCCTCCCACCTCAGCCTCCTAAGTAGCTGGAATTACAGGCATGAGACATCACTCCTGGCTGATTTTTGTGTTTTTTGTAGAGATGGGGTTTCACCATGTTGCCCAGGCTGGTCTCGAACTCCTGGGCTCAAGCAGTCCACCCACCTCAGCCTCCCAAAGTGCTGGAATTACAGGTGTGAGCCACTGTACCCAGCCACTCCATCTTTTCTTAAGCATTTTTAACCTAGTTGATTTTTTTTTAATACAGGTGAGAGCATACCATATAACCTTTTTTCCTTATTAGTATTATATCTTAAGTATGTTCTCAAGTGATTAAAAGTTTTTGTAAACATTTTATTGAGTACATGTTTGTTTTATGCTTCCACTATGATGTAACTATTTCCCTAATAGTGAACATTCAGGCTGTTTCTAATTTTTTGTGTCTATAAATCTTTGTCCACATTCAGCAATATGCTATCATTTTTGTAGAGGGAGAAAATCTGGAGAGGGCAGAGATGGCTAGGGGCAAGGGCGGAGGAGAGATTTTACTACATACATTTTCATGTCTTTGGAATTTGGAACCATGTATTATTACCTATTGAAAACAAGGAAATAAAATATCAAACCTGTGAACATACATTGTCAACTGTGAAGATGCCAAATTAATGTTTTTAATTTGAACAATAAGATTAATTTTGATGTTAAGAACTGTAAAAATTTTCCTTAATCAGCTTTCAGCTGCAACAGACCGAATTTGCTCACTTCAAGAAGAACAGCAGCAGTTAAGAGAACAAAATGAATTAATTCGAGAAAGAAGTGAAAAGAGTGTAGAGGTGAGAAATTGACCTACATTTGGGCAGCATGTTTCTCACTCAGACACACCTATTGTCAATCTCAAGCTCATGGCTTAACAACAACCCAGTCTTCAGAATGCAAAGGTGCCTTGCTTATGTCAGAAAGGGCCTCTCACTGCGGTCCCTGCCCACATCACTCTCAGACCACCTGGATCCCTTGGACGGGGACTCCCTTCATGGCCTGTGGGCCTTTGCATGCCAAAGTTCCTACTCGTTCTTCAGCATCCACTCACCTGCCATGTCCTCCATGATGTCATCCCAGGAGCCGTGGGCGGGCCTGGGCCATCCTCCTGTATTCCCATTGCTCTTTGTGTCCTTCCATGATACAGTCCCTTTGCTGTTTTGTAGAATTGTTGGCTTGCAGCTCTATCACATGATGACTTGAGGATAGAAACCATATCTGGGCCGGGCACAGTGGCTCACACCTGTAATCCCAGCACTTTGGGAGGCCGAGGCGGGCGGATCACGAGGCCAGGAGATCGAGACTGTCCTGGCTAACACAGTGAAACCCCGTCTCTACTAAAAATACAAAACAGTTAGCTGGGCGTGGTGGCAGGTGCCTGTAGTCCCAGCTGCTCGGGAGGCTGAGGCAGGAGAATGGTGTGAACCCGGGAGATGGAGCTTGCAGTGAGCTGAGATCGCGCCACTGCACTCCAGCCTGGGCCATAGAGCAAGACTCCGTCTCAAAAAAAAAAAGAGAGACCATATCTGATTGACTTCTAAATTCACTCAGTGCTAAAAACATGTTCATAAGTACTGGATGATGAGTTGAATGAGGGTTTTTCCTGCGAATGGAGTCTTGTTCTGTTTTTGTTGTTGTTGTTTGTTTGTTTCTAGACAGAGTCTCCCTCTGTCGCCCAGGCTGGAGTGCAGTGGCGTGATCTCGACTCACTGCAAGCTCCGCCTCCCAGGTTCACGCCATTCTCCTGCCTCAGCCTCCCCAGTAGCTGGGACTACAGGCGCCTGCTACTACGCCCAGCTAATTTTTTTCTATATTTTTAGTAGAGACGGGGTTTCACCATGTTGGCCAGATGGTCTCGATCTCCTGACCTCGTGATCCACCCGCCTCGGCCTCCCAAAGTGCTGGGATTACAGTCATGAGCCACCGCACCCGGCCAAGTCTTGTTCTGTTTTAAAGAAAATTAAATTTAAATTGCTTTATCAATGTAACTTTTTTTTTTTTTGGAAACAGAGTCTTGCTGTCACCCAGGCTGGAATGTAGTGGCGTGATCTTAGCTCACTGCAACCTCCACCTCCCGGATTCAAGCGATTTTCCTGCCTCAGCCTCCCAAGTAGCTGGAATTATAGGCACATGCCACCACACCCGACTAATT
Organism: Homo sapiens; assembly: GCF_000001405.40. Lineage (NCBI taxonomy): Eukaryota > Metazoa > Chordata > Mammalia > Primates > Hominidae > Homo > Homo sapiens. Next base: position 179,591,003 of record NC_000005.10, read on the forward strand.
TTTGTATTTTTAGTAGAGACAGGGTTTCACCATGTTGGCCAGGCTGGTGTCAAACTCCTGACCTCAAGTGATCTCCCGCCTTGGCCTTCCAAAGTGCTGGGATTACAGGCATGAGCCACCACACCCAGCCTATGAACTTAACTTTTCAAATATCTATTGACTTATTCTCATTCTTCTTTTTTTTGTTTTTTTTTGGTGGGGGGATGGAGTCTTGCCCTGTCGCCCAGGCTGGAGTGCAATGGCACGATCTTGGCTCACTGCAAGCTCTGCCTCCCGGGTTCACGCCATTCTCCTGCCTCAGCCTCCCAAGTAGCTGGGACTACAGGCGCCCACCACCACGCCCAGCTAATTGTTTGTGTTTTTAGTAGAGACGGGGTTTCACCATGTTAGCCAGGATGGTCTCGATCGCCTGACCTCGTGATCCGCCCGCCTCGGCCTCCCAAAGTGCTGGGATTACAGGCGTGAGCCAATGCGCCCAGCCAAGTTTTAACCTTTTTCTACCATGCTTAAAAAATAAAAATTACCTTACATTTTTTAAAATTGTGGTATATTTTGAAATACTTCATAATTAGCTTGCTTTCCATAAGCAAACAATTCCTCTTGGTGTCCTTGTTTGATACAGATAACAAAACAGGATACCAAAGTTGAGCTGGAGACTTACAAGCAAACTCGGCAAGGTCTGGATGAAATGTACAGTGATGTGTGGAAGCAGCTAAAAGAGGAGAAGAAAGTCCGGTTGGTGAGTGTGCAAGACCGAGTGTCTTTAGAAAGAGTTTCCCCGTAGTGTTAATTCTGTCAACACTTTTCATAGACATGCTTCACCATCCTGATGGTCATAGAAAGTCAGAAGCTGTTCATTAAAAAAATTTTTTTTAAGTCTATGGTTACAACTCAGTTGTGCATTGTCACTCATATTTTTTCCCATTTTATAAATATTTTTTGTTTGTTTGGGTTTTTTTTCAAGACGGAGTCTCACTCTGTTGTCCAGGCTGGAGTGCGATGGCGCGATCTTGGCCCACTGCAAACTCTGCCTCCTGGGTTCAAGCAGTTCTCTGCCTCAGCCTCCCGAGTAGCTGGGATTGCAGGCACCCGCCACCACACCCGGCTAATTTTTTGGTTTTTGGTTTTTTTTTTGAGACGGAGTTTCACTCTTGTCGCCCAGGCTAGAGTGCAGTGGTGTGATCTCGGCTCACTGCAACGTCTGCCTCCCAGGTTCAAGCAATTCTCCTGCCTCAGCCTCCAGAGTAGCTGGGACTACAGGCATACGCCACCATGCCTGGCTAATATTTGTATTTTTAGTAGAGATGGGGTTTCACCATGTTGGCCAAGATGTTCTCCATCTCCTGACTTTGTGATCCGCCCGCCTGAGCCTCCCAAAGTGCTGGGATTACAGGCCTGAGCCACCGTGCCCGGCCAGTTTTTTGTATTTTTAGTAGAAACGGAGTTTCACCATCTTGGGCAGGCTGGTCTTGAACTCCTGACCTCGTGATCCACCTGCCTCGGCATCCCAAAGTGCTGGGATTACAGGCGTGAGCCACTGCGCCTGGCCATTTTATAAATCTTTACAGGGATTGCTATGAGACCAGATTAACGGTTTCTTTGACAATACAATTCTCTCCGTCATAACCTCTGGCCTATTTATTTCCACTCAACCTGTGCATCAGTGACCAGAGTTACTTGTAAACACTGTTCTTGTACCTGCTTTATTTCTTTGCTTCTTTGCATGGATGCAGGGAAACATGTCCTGGGTCAGGACAGAACCATTTCGAAATGGTTGCACTTTTGTTGCTATAAACTAGCAAACCATTCCAGAAATTCTAACATTGCACTATCAGATCTCTTCCAGCACTCAAACGAGACAGATATTCTTTGAAAACATGCATTCTGATCTGTGGGTATGGAAAACATGGTTGCTGGAACCTAGGCTCATCCTGTTACTGACCAGCTTTCTGTTGACTTGATGTGGAGTCAGCTTTAACCGTGCAGTGAGGAAAAGGGCAAACACCATCTACTCCTGCCCCAGACAGACTCTTTTCAATCTCCCTAAGCTATTCTCACCTTCAGTTTGTTTGTTTTGTTTTGGTTTGTTTTTTTCTTTAAGACAGTCTCACCCTGTCACCCAGGCTGGAGTGGTGTGATTTCGGCTCACTGCAGCCTCCGCCTCCCGGATTCAAGCAATCCTCCTGCCTCAGCCTCCTGAGAGTAGCTGGGATTACAGGCGCATGCCACCACACCCAGCTAATTTTTGTATTTTTAGTAGAGATGGGGTTTCGCCATCTTGGCCAGGCTGCTCTCGAACTCCTGGCCTCAAGTGATCCGCCCACCTCAGCCTCCCAAAGTGCTGAGGATTACAGGCATGAGCCACCACACCCAGCCTTCAGTTTGTATTTTAAGCATTACCTGAGATTCAACCCCAGTTAAATACATTTCTGTGATCTATTTTAATAACATTTTCCTTGTAAATATCCTTTTAAGGAACTGGAAAAAGAACTGGAGTTACAAATTGGAATGAAAACCGAAATGGAAATTGCAATGAAGTTACTGGAAAAGGACACCCACGAGAAGCAGGACACACTAGTTGCCCTCCGCCAGCAGCTGGAAGAAGTCAAAGCGATTAATTTACAGATGTTTCACAAAGCTCAGGTGGGAGTTGGCTTTGTGTCCATGGCACAGCCTGGTTTCTGCTGCTCGCCAGTCTTGTGTCATTCTTCTTACAAAATGAGCGAGTAGACACATAGAGCCCCTCGTATGTGTCAGACCTGCTCCTAGGACCTATTATGATTTTGATCCTCATGGCAGTCCCTGAGAAATGGGGGGAAATGTAAGTGACAAGGCAGAGCCAAGTCACTAAGTCACATGCCCCTGGTGACGTAGCTTCTAAGGGGAGACGTGGGTCTTTTTAACCCAAACCCAAACTTTGTCCATCCACCTTCACTGTCCCTCCACTGTCTGTTTTCTTCTATTTCAACGATTTATTGTTTATAGCAAGCATGGAGGAGAGAATTAAAGACGTCATTTAGAGCCAGGCACGGTGGCTCACGCTTGTAATCCCAGCACTTTGGGAGGCCGAGCGGGCAGATCACGAGGTCAGGAGTTTGAGACTAGCCTGGCCAGCATGGTGAAACACCGTCTCTACTAAAAATACAAAAATTAGCTGGGCATGGAGGTGCACGCCTCTAATCCCAGATACTCAGAAGGCTGAGGCAGGAGAATTGCTTGAACCCGGGAGACAGGTTGCAGTGAGCCGAAATCATTCCGTTGCACTCCAGCCTGGGCAACAGAGCGCAACTCCAACTCGGGGGAAAAAAAAAAAAAGTCATTTAGTATTGTCTTTTCAAACTTTGCCGCTAAGTTAATCTTTCTGAGTCTTCCGGGCCACATAGGTAGCTGGTTGCCTCTCCTGTGTCATTTCAGGGTGGTCCAAGGGAACTGTCCCAGACAGAACCAATCATGCCAGATTTTGAAAAACAGCATCTAGTCCGGGCGTGGTGGCTCACACCTGTAATCCCAGCACTCTGGGAGGCCAAGGCAGGCGGATCACGACGTCAGGTGTTCGAGACCAGCCTGGTCAACATAGTGAAACCCCGTCTCTACTAAAAATACAAAAAATTAGCCAGATGTGGTGGCGGGCGCCTGTAGTCCCAGCTACTTGGGAGGCTGAGGCAGGAGAATGGCGTGAACCCGGGAGGCGGAGCTGGCAGTGAGCCAAGATCACGCCACTGCACTCTAGCCTGGGTGACAGAGCAAGACTCTGTCTCAAAAAAAAAAAAAAAAAAAAAAAGCAAATAAGCCCTGTTTGTAATCCAGAGCAGGTGCAAGGATGTGGGACAGGCAGAGTATGAACCCTTCCTTTGCTTTTGTAGAATGCAGAGAGCAGTTTGCAGCAGAAGAATGAAGCCATCACATCCTTTGAAGGAAAAACCAACCAAGTTATGTCCAGCATGAAACAAATGGAAGAAAGGTAATCACTTCCCCCTGGCAGATATTCTCGGGAAGGCTCTGAGCATTCCCTGGGCCTGGAGACTTATTCAGAGTCCCTCTCCAAAGTGCAGGGGAGAGGCTGGGCGCGGTGGCTCACGCCTGTAATCCCAACACTTTGGGAGGCCGACGCGGGAGGATCACTTAAGGTCAGAAGTTCAAGAACAGGCTGGCCAACATGGTGAAACCCTGTCTTTACTAAAAATACTAAAAATTAGGACGGGCGCGGTGGCTCACGCCTGTAATCCCAGCACTTTGGGAGGCCGAGGCGGGCGGATCACGAGGTCAGGAGATCGAGACCATCCCGGCTAAAACGGTGAAACCCCGTCTCTACTAAAAATACAAAAAATTAGTGGGCAACAAGAAAGAAACTTCATCTCAAAACAAAACAAAAAAAGGAGGGGGCAAAAGACTTGAAACAGATACTTCATCAAAGACAACATATGGACAGCAAAAAAGTACATGAGATGATATTCAGATCATGAGCCACTAGAGAAGTGAGTGGCACAATCCCACCACACATCTGTTAGGGCAGCTACGGTTTCTTTTTGGTTTTTTGTTTGTTTGTTCTTGTTTTTTTTTTTTTTTGAGCCAGAGTTTCGCTCTCATTGCCCAGGCTAGAGTGCAATGGTGCGATCTCAGCTCACCGCAATCTCTACCTCCCAGGTTCAAGCAATTCTCCTGCCTCAGCCTCCCAAGTAGCTGGGATTACAGGTGCCTGCCACCATGCCCGGCTAATTTTGTATTTTTGTAGAGATGGGGTTTCTCCATATTGATCAGGCTGGTCTCGAACTCCCGACCTCAGGTGATCTGCCCACCTAGGCCTCCCAAAGTGCTGGGATTATAGGCATGAGCCACCACACCTGGCCAGCTACCGTTTCTTTAATGACAATACCAAGTGCTGATGAGGACACGGAGCTAATGGATCTCTCATACTTTATTGGTAGGAATGCAAAATGGTGCAACCACTCAGGAAAACAGTTTCTCAAGAAGCTAAACGTCCTCTTACCATATGATCCAAATAGAAATGAAACTTATGTCTACACCAAAACTAGTACATATGTTTATAGCAGCTCCGTTCATAACTGCCAAAAGCTAGAAGCAATCCCAATGTTCTGCATTGGGTGATGGATAAACAAAGTGGTACGTCTGTGCGGTGAAGTATGACTCAGCCGTAGAAAGGAATGAACCACTGCCCTTTCAGGACGTTCAGAGAGGAAACAAAAGGCATGAACCATTGATACACATGGAAACTTGGATTGATCTCCAAGACATTATTCTGAGAAAAAGTCAGTCTCAAGGTTATATAATGTATAATTACATTGAGATTACATTCTCAAAAAGCCAAAGCCATATTGTTGCAGGACAGATGAGTGGTTGCCAGGGGCTGAGGTGGGGAGTTTTGGGAGTGGTGGGACCGTCCTGTATTCTGATTGTGGTGGAGCTGAATCTCCACGTGTTAAAACTCACAAGAGTTAATTTTACTGTATGGTAATTTTAAAAATGAATTTCAGCCAGCAAAAGTCATCCTTTCCTTACAAAGATTTGCTTCATTTGCACTCTTGCTGGTGTCGCATCCAGGTTGCAGCACTCGGAGCGGGCGAGGCAGGGGGCTGAGGAGCGGAGCCACAAGCTGCAGCAGGAGCTGGGCGGGAGGATCGGCGCCCTGCAGCTGCAGCTCTCCCAGCTGCACGAGCAATGGTAGGGGCCCTGCAGGGAGCCTGGGCTGGGGTGTGGCTCAGGAGGGACTGGGAAGAACTGGGGACAGGTGGTATCCTGCTTCAGCACGAACGGGAGGAGGGGGGGCGGGGGGGCAGGTGGTATCCTGCTTCACCACTCACCCCTGCAGGGTTCGTATGTTATCCCTAGGGAGCTCCCTCCCCACAGGGCTCCTCACGTGGTCCAGCTCGCCTCCAGAAGATCTGGCCACTCTCAAACCATGGTACCAGGTCACAGCCTGTATCACCCTTAACCACCCTTTCTAAAAAGAAACAGCTTTGTCAGTGTTGAACAGAAAGTCACCTTTCACCTAGCCTTTGCTGATGCAAGCTTCATATAATTTTGTGCACAGTTCATCTACAGATTTTTTATTTTTTAAGTCTCACTCTGTCATCCAGGCTGGAGTGCAGTGGTGCAGTCTCAGCTCACTGCAACCCCCACCTCCTGGGCTCAAGCGATTCTTGTGCCTCAGCCTCCTGAGTAGCTGGGACTACAGGTGTACATCAACACACCCGGCTAATTTTTGTGTTTGTGTTTTGTTTTGTTTTTTTTTTGAGACCGAGTCTCACTCTCTTGCCCAGGCTGGAGTGCGGTGGCGCGATCTCGGCTCACTGCAACCTCTGCCTCCCGGGTTCACGCCATTCTCCTGCCTCAGCCTCCCGAGCAGCTGGGACTACAGGCATCAGCCACCACACCTGGCTAATTTTTTGTATTTTTAGTAGAGACGGGGTTTCACTGTGTTAACCCAGGATGGTCTCGATCTCCTCACCTCGTGATCCTCCCATCTCGGCCTCCCAAAGTGCTGGGATTACAGGCGTGAGCCACTGCGCCCAGCCTAATTTTTGTATTTTTATTAGAGACAGGGTTTTGCCATGTTGGCCAGGCTGGTCTCAATCTTCTGGCCTCAAGTGATCCACCCGTCTCGGCCTCCCAGAATGCTAGGATTACAAGTGTGAACCACCGTGCCTGGCCTATAGATTTTTTGAGATAATATATATGCCAAGTTAAAAGCCTGATGTTGAGAGAAGAGAGAAGAGACATCTTTATTCCCACAAAGAGAGAGCAGACTCCAGGCGGTCCAGCAGTGCCCCCAGGGCCACTCAGCTGGTAAAGGGCAGAGTCAGCTTCAGGCTGAGGCTCCCTCCTGGCCTTCTCCCTCCAGGATCCTTCATTGTCAGTCTGGCTGTAGGTTGTAGAAAGCAGAATGAGGCCGGGCGCGGTGGCTCACGCCCATAATCCCAGCACTTTTGGGAGGCCGAGGCAGGGAGATCACGAGGTCAGGAGTTCAAGACCAGCCTGGCCAACATGGTGAAACGTCATCTCTACTAAAAATACAAAAAATTAGCTGGGCGTGGTGGCGTGTGCCTGTAATCCCAGCTACTAGGGAGGCTGAGGCAGGAGACTAGCTTGAACCCAGGAGGCAGAGGTTGCAGTGAGCCAAGATTGTGCCACTGCACTCCAGCCTGGGCGACAGAGCGAGACTCCGTCTCAAAAAAAAACAAAAAGCAGAATGAATTGGCCAGTGAGGTGGCTCATGCCTGTAATCTCTGCACCTTGGGAAGCTGTGGCGGGAGGATCACTTGAGCCCAGGAGGTCGAGGCTGCAGTGAGCTGAGGTTGCGCCACTGCACTCCAGCTGGGGTGACAGAGCTAGACCCTGTCTCAAAAAAAGAAAAGAACGAATTTTGAGCTTCCTTTCCTCAGGTCTCCATGTCGGGAGGGTTCTGCTTATGTGGTCTAAGTGTTCTAGAGCTCTCTTCCTTCTCCCCTGCGTAAGTGTCAAGTGTGTGCCTGCAGGCTTTTCTCTCCCTGGTTCCTGCTCTTTCTTGTGGAAGGGCAGGTGACCCTGGAGGAGAGGGAAGCGTTGCCGAAGGCTTTAGATGCTCAAGAGGCAATTCAGAGACTTCCCTGTTTCCTGGGCGGTGAATTGGGTTGTGAATCTTCCGTGAAAGTCTCCCACTGAGACTAACTCAAGTTCATTTTGGGAAAACAGCTCAAGCCTGGAGAAAGAATTGAAATCAGAAAAAGAGCAAAGACAGGCTCTTCAGCGCGAATTACAGCACGAGAAAGACACTTCCTCTCTACTCAGGATGGAGCTGCAACAAGTGGAAGGACTGAAAAAGGTGAGGTGGGCCATCCCGGGAGAGGAGAGCCTCTGGCAGCCTCCAGAAACCCCTAACATGCTCCGGGCAGGCTCCTCTCCCCGCACCCTTTGTGTGGGGGCCAGGCGGCTCCAGGGTGTGGGGAGGCTGTTAGGGAGCTCCTGTTTTAGGAGCATAAGACAAAGACAAATCATAAACCACTAAGCCTGCTGGCAGCTCAGATAGAGGCAAGTGCCATGAAGAGAATAAAGCAGAACAGTGTCCTCACCCGTGTGCAAGGGGCCTGGGGAGGGAGCGACCGGTGAGCAGAGGCTCCAGTGAGTTATGCCCTGCAAAGCACCTCTTGGGTGGAGACTGCAGGAGCAGACAGCAGTGTGAGGAGCAAAGAGGCGGCCTCAGGCGGCAGGCAGGAGGAAGCCCTTCATGGGCCCTGGGAGCCAGGGGAAGGAACGTGGGTTTTATTTTACCAGAGTGGGCAGCTGGTGGAGGGACAGGATCCGTTCTGTTTGCGGATGGTCATTGGCTCCTGTGTGGAGAGTGGGTGGTAGGCTCGCAGGAGAGGAAGCTGGGAGGAACCAGTAAACATCTCCTACCACATGCCAGCCTCACCTCAGCCACTGTGCCCAGGGTCGGGTCATCCCTGGGAAGCAGACCGACCCCAGCCCTCCACTTCCCCTACATCACCTCAGTTCCATGGAGGACCCTCTCACTTGGAGGCATGGCCTGGATGCTGTGGGCTTCAGAGGGCGAGAGAAGTGGGGTCCAGCAGGCCTTCACTGTCTGGCTGTGGAACTGGACCTCCCAGGAAACTCCGAGGCCGTGTGGAACATTTGCCCTAATGTAAAATCATCGGCTGTTTTCCCAGAGGGGAGGAGGCTCTGCGATCCTGGATGGAGCTGACTGCAGCCTGGGGCGCTCTGGGGGGCTCCTCCCACGTGGGGATGGCGTGCCCTCTTCTCAGGCCCCTGCGCTGCCGAGCGCTGCAGGAAAACTGAGCCCAAAGCAGACCTCCCCTCGGCACCTGCCCCGGAGGGGCCTTCAGGGCCAGGGTGGCTTCTGGACCTGGATTTTGTTGTGTTGAACGTGGTAATGGACACACTGCACGATTCGAGCGAGTCAGGAAAGGCCCTTTTGATTTCCATTGGAAAGTGCCTGGAGTTGTTGGGGAAGGGAGAGCTTCCTCAAGAGCCAGATCAGGCTTGGAGAGTGGAAGGGAGGAAGTGGAGGGCAGAAGAGGACTTTCAGAAAGTCCCGCCTCATCACGGGGCATACCTCCTTTATTCTGCTTCAGAATGCTTCTGTCAAAAGATTCGAATTACACAATTACAGCCCGCCCCAACAATAGGAACAAAACAATGTCTAATAACCCCAGTTAAGCCACAGCTTTGTGCTTTGCAAGCCTGTGCATGGAAGCAGAAGCTACGGCACAGGGTGTGCAGAGAGCCACCCCGCCACTCGGGCCCGAGCTCCACCGCTGCTCCCAGTGGTCCCAGAAACCCCAGTTACTTTCTGGGTCTCCATCCTGGCCTTAACAGACTGGCTCAAGGTGCACTGGCCCCAGGTGTCAGTGCCGTTGCCCCCTGGGGAACTCCCTCCGTGCAGGGCTCCTCACATGGTCTAGCCAGCCTCCAAGTGGTCTAGCCATGAAATGAGGTCCCAGGTCACCCCCTTCATCATCCTTGACCAGTGCTTTCCAAAAAAGCAGCTTTTTCAGAATTGAACAGGAAACCACCTTTCAAACTAGTCTTTGCTGATGCAAGGTTCGTGTGATTTTGTGTACAGTTCTTCTATAGATTTTTTGAGATAGCAATCTGTTTTGTAAAATGTTTATCTTTTAAAAAGAAGCTCAAATAGGCAAAGCCTCATTTGTCCTATGATGGTAACTTTTTTTTTTTTTTTTTTTTTTTTTTTTTTGAGACGGAGTCTTGCTCTGTTGCCCAGGCTGGAGTGCAGTGGTGTGATCTCGGCTCACTGCAACCTCCGCCTCCCCAGTTCAAGCGATTCTCCTGCCTCAGCCTCCCGAGTAGTTGGGATTGCAGGCATGTGCCACCATGCCCTGCTAATTTTTGTATTTTTAACTAAAGGAGGGGTTTTGCCATGTTGGCCAGGCTGGTCTTGAATGCCTGACCTCAGGTGATCCGCCCACCTCAGCCTCCCAGTGCTGGGATTACAGGTGTGAGCCACTGCGCCCAGCTGAGGGTAACTATTTTTAATGTGGCTGATGAATGTAACTATCCTGTCCCATGTCTCTGTCCCCAGCTGCAGAGCCCTCGTCGAGTGCTTGCCTTTTAGCTGCCCAGTGTCAAGAGTAAGCTAGCAAGAAATAATCTTGAATGACATTAATACAGGACTGCATTTTGCTCTTTTTTTTGGTTTTGTTTTGTTTGAGATGGAGTCTTGCTCTGTCGCCCAGGCTGGAGTACAGTAGCACCATCTCGGCTCACTGCAACCTCCGCCTCCCGGGTTCAAGCAGTTCTCTTGCCTCAGCCTCCCAAGTAGCTGGGATTACAGGTGCCTGCCACCACACCCAGCTAATTTCTGTATTTTTAGTGGAGACAGGGTTGCACCATGTTGGCCGGGTTGGCCTCAAACTCCTGACCTCAGGTGATCCACCTGTCTTGGCCTCCCAAAGTGCTGGAAGTATAGGCATAAGCCACTGTGCCTGGCCACCTTTTGCTCTTGAAAAACATTCTGATCTGCTTGTTGCTCTGGTTGCTGAATCTTTTTTTTTTTTTTAAAGGCCAGTGCAGTGGCTCACGCCTGTAATCCCAGCACTTTGGGAGGCCGAGGCGGGCAGATCACGAGGTCAGGAGTTTGAGACCATCCTGGCCAACATGGTGAAACCCCGTCTCTACTGAAAATACAAAAATTAGCAGGGCATGGTGGCGGGCACCTGTAGTCCCAGCTACTTGGGAGGCTGAGGCAGGAGAATCGCTTGAACCCAGGAGGCGGAGGTTGCAGTGAGCCAAGATCGTGCCACTGCACTCCAGCCTGGCAACAGAGCAAGACCCTGTCTCAAAAAAAAAAAAAAAAAAAAAAAAAAGGACCGTGTAATCCTCTGTCCAGCATCTGGTTGGTTTGTTCATTTTAGGAGTTGCGGGAGCTTCAGGACGAGAAGGCAGAGCTGCAGAAGATCTGCGAGGAGCAGGAACAAGCCCTCCAGGAAATGGGCCTGCACCTCAGCCAGTAAGAACCCCACTCCCCTTGTCTGCCACTGCAGGCACACCAGGCTACCCACCACATCCCTCAGGCCCCAAACCTACCTCCTTTTGGCGAACGGAGGGTGGGCCATTTAGGAGCTCAGTCCGCCGTTCACGGATGAGCTCTCAGGAAGCCCGGCCTCAGAGGGGCCCAGCACTGATCTCTGCTACCCACATGGGGTGTCAGCGAGCTCTTAGTTAATTCAGGAAGCACGTTCATTCCTAGTGACCAGGACACTCCTATTCCTTAGCTTCATATCCAGGGCCTGAGGGAACAGATGGGCAATGAGAGGATCGCTTGGTCAGCCTACAGTCAGGCCAGAGGGAGCAGGGCTGGTTTGGGAACGGAAGCCTGGCACAGTAGAGGTGCACTCACCCGCCTTGCACAGCACAGCCCCCTTCCTTTCGGGGAACTGGCCACTGCATCCGCCAGAGTCTGTCTGTCTCTGCTGCAGGTGCTGATGGGGTGCAGACCCTGGTAGTTCTGCTCCCCTCTGACTTGACAGCTCTCCTCCTTGGTGTCCCAGTCTAGATAGGTTGCTGTGGACGCCTGGGCCTTGGGGTGGATCACACTGCGGACTGTGGAACTTGCCCATTTGTGTGATGATTCTGCATTTTCAACATAGTGGGTAGCTTTTCTCCTCGAGTCAGGGCGCATGGTTGCAAGTAACAGAAATCCAACTCAAAGTGGCTTAAGCAAAAGAAGCCATCAGGAATCGGTCTCTGTCTCCTACCTCTGCTATCCTGTCTGCCTCACAGGTGGGTCTGGACCCTGCAGGGGCAAAACAGCACTCAGCAAGGCCATCTATCAGAGGAACAAACTCCCTCTTCTTTGTGCATAGCTGCCAGGATCACCCGAGATTGACCCTGCTCCCGAGTACCCATGCCTGACATAAGCACCATGACCAAGGAGATGGGGCTCACGACCTCAGCACAGCCTGGTCTGCACCAGAAATTTGTAGAGTCTAGTACTATTAAGAAAATAGGCCGGGTGCGGTGGCTCACGCCTGTAATCTCAGCACTTTGGGAGACTGAGGTGAGCAGATCACCTGAGGTCAGGAGTTCGAGACCAGCCTGGCCAACATAGTGAAGCCCCGTCTCTACTAAAAATACAAAAATTAGCCAGGCATGGTGGGCACCTGTAATCCCAGCTACTCGGGAGGCTGAGACAGCAGCATCGCTTGAACCCGGGAGGCAGAGGTTGCAGTAAGCCGAGATTGCACCACTGCACTCCAGCCTGGGCAACAAAAGTGAGAATCCATCTCAAAAAAAAAAAACAAATAGCTGGTCAGGGAATCTGATGTCTCTGGTGGGAATGCGGTCTGCCCACTCCCAGATGCAGGTGCTGGCCACTCGCCGTCTCTCCTGTGCCTCTTACCTTTCTAGACTAGCCCATGGCCGCTGCTTCCTCCCCTCCCACCCTCCGCCCTGCCTGCCACCCACTCAGCTGAGTGCCCTGTGCTGCTCCCGTCTGGCCTGTCAACTTGCCGTGCTCTGGCCCGTTCCTTCCCAACCCCCAGGGAGCTCCTTGAGGGACGCAAGGCCCAGTGTCTGTCCCCATGCTCAGAGCATAGGCCAGCTGTGAGGGCATCCCGAGAGCACTCACCAGAAGCAGACGTGGAACAGAGCTGGCGTGGAGCTGGCTTCTGGGGTTTGCAGCCAGTGTTTTCCTCTTTACATTGGATGGACAGCAAGGCAGTGTCACAGGTCCCCTCCTAGTGGACCATAGACCTCGAAACTGTGGTTGGTCTCTGATCTTTAAAATGTATCATTGTGGCCGGGTGTGGTGGCTCATGCCTGTAATCCCAGCCCTTTGGGAGGCTGAGGTGGGTGGATCACCTGAGGTCAGGAGTTCAAGACCAGCCTGACCAACGTGGAGAAACCCCATCTCTACTAAAAATATAAAATTAGCCGGGCATGGTGGAGCGCGCCTGTAATCCCAGCTACTCAGGAGGCTGAGGCAGGAGAATCGCTTGAACCTGGGAGGCGGAGGTTGCGGTGAGCCGAGATCGCGCCATTGCACTCCAGCCTGGGCAATAAGAGTGAAACTCTGTCTCAAAAACAAACAAACAAATGTATTGTTGCACTTTGTGGCCGCCTGGCACTACCGGCTAACCTAGCTTCCAAATCCCAGTGTGAGCTGCCTGGCCACCATTCCCTCCCAGTGAGTGCTGTGGGTGTCACAGCATCAGGTGTTTGCAAACCCAGACAGGACTACCTGAGGAGTTGCTTTTGTGCTCTCTCCCCTCTTCCCTTCTTCCTCTTGCAAGCCTATACCGGATGACAGAGATGGCAAAGCCTCTTCGCAGGCCCTACATTAGCTACAGGAACAGTTTCCAGTTTCATTGGCTTGGGAACATCTGGATTCTTCCTAAATTGTGTTTCCCAGAGTTCTTGTATGTTCAGTTTGCCTTGTTGACCTGGCTTCCCAAGGTCTGTCCATCTGCGCAGCCTCTTCTCATCCTGTCAATCTGCTGGCCTATTTCCTGTTTCTGCAGCCGGACCAGGAAGGGAAGGAGCTGCCTCCCGATCTTTAGTAAAAGCCACAGGGATTTTTCTAAATGCCCTGATGCTGTTTTCTAATCCCTCCCTTCGAAGTCTAGCCTGTGTTTCCCAGAGACCTGCCATTTTGTCACTGAGATGAGTCTAATCTGATGATAGTTCAGACTGATCTCAGCTTTTAAGAAAGACCCAGGCCAGGCTGGGCGTGGGGGCTCAGGCCTCTAATCCCAGCACTTTGGGAGGCCGAGGCAGGTGGATCACTTGAGGTCAGGAGTTCAAGACCAGCCAGGCCAATATGGTGAAACCCCATCTCTAGTAAAAGTACAAGAAAATAAGCTGGGTGTGGTGTCGGGCGCCTGTCATCCCAGCTACTTGGGAAGCTGAGGCAGGAGAATTGCTTGAGCCCAGGAAGCAGAGGTTGCAGTGAGCCGAGATCACACCACCGCACTCCAGCCTGGCCAATGCAGCAAGACTCCATCTCAAAAAAAAAAAAGAAAAAAAGAAAAAGGCTCAGGCCTATAATCCTAGCACTTTGGGAGGCTGAGGCAGGTGGGTCAATTGAGGTCAGGAGTTCAAGACCAGCCTGGGCAACATGGCAAAACCCCACCTCTAGAAAAAATACAAAAATTAGCCAGGCGTGATGGCATGCACCTGTAGTCGCAGCTACTTGGGAGACTAAAGTGAGAGGATCACTTGAGCCCAGGAGGTCAAGGTTGCAGTGAGCCATGATTGCACCACTGCATTCCAGCCTGGGCAATATAGCAAGATCCTGTCTCAAAAAAAAAAAAAAAAGGATCAGACTGTTTCCCTCAATTGCACAAACTGCTTCATTTTATTTGGTTTAGTTCTGCCAATTTAGACCATGTTCAGTCCTGTCTCTTGTGTAAACAAAGGAATTGTTCTGACACTGAACAAGAATGGAGCAAGAACAAATGGCTATGCCATCTGAGCCTTCCCCCTTCCAGACAGCAGGCAGCAGAATGGAGGCCGGGGAGAAGCCTGCAGACTCAGGTTCCTGCTGGGGAGAGCGGTAGAGACTAGTGCAGAACAGGGCCAGGTCTTGGACTTCTGGCCTCAGGCCATCCTCTCGCCTCAGCCTCCCTCAAAGTCTTTTTGAGCCCCTGCAGGCTAAGCAGTGTGTTCTCGTGCCAGATGCAGTCCCAGGCTCAGCCTCAGCCCTCAGCAGACGGGAGCCAGTGTGATGAGGCAACTCTGGGATTGTACAGAGGCGGAAGGCATTTTAACAACTCACGTTCTGGGTCTCCTCACAAGTCCGGTATCCTCACAAAGCTAGTCCTGAGAGCCAGCTGTGTTAGGGATTCAGAGCCTCACTCTCTCTCACTGCTATGAAATGGCCTTTTTTTTTTCCTTAGGTCCAAGCTGAAGATGGAAGATATAAAAGAAGTGAACCAGGCACTGAAGGTACTGCCTTGCTAAGAACCACTTCTTTGCTGTCAGCTTGTGCTGACTGCCCGTGTGCTCGTACGTTTAAGTATCCCAACAGTCAGGTGAGAGCGTGTGGTTGAGGCAGTGGTGATGACGTATTGACAGAGAAGCCAAACGCTGCTCAGAAACGTGTCCCTCGGCTGAGGGCGATGCTGACAGGTGGCCGAAGCTGAGCCTAGGTCTTCCGACTCCAGTTCCTCCACCATCAGCTGTGCTTTCAAAATAGGCCTGATGGGCATTCCCTAAGGGGGAAGCAGGTGGCGGAGAGGAGGGACCCGCGGATATCTTTAAACAGTGGAAAACAGGCCCTTCTGTTGAAGTGAGGGGCCAGAGGCCAGCCAGCCCCACTGCAGTGCCCTGTGCCATTGCTAGGGACCACTCAAGCCAAGCCCTGAGTTGGGCCAGGTTTCCGCACCCTGGTGGGGAGGGCAGAATGACACATTCCACCGAAAAGCAGGAGTTTGCAGGTGGCCCGGTGTGGGTGCGGGTGCCAGGCTGAGCTGCAGGGCGGAGAGTGTGGGAGAGGAGGCAGACATTCGGGGGCACGGCAGCCTGGCCTTCAAGACAGCCTTGCCTGCAGGAGCACCCCGCTTCGGCCTCAGCTGTGCCGTGGCAGCAATGCAAAAGCAGTCCCTTTGCACACTGTTCCACGTGGTGCAGAGCAGGGACCCTGATGTCTCTGGGCATCTAACTTCCAAGTGCCAGGTCAGGGGCAGCAACTAACAGCAGCCGGGACTTCTAGGTAATATCAGTTTCACAGCATCAGAGGATAGAAATCATAAAACAGGACTCTAGAGCCGCCAGAGCTCTTTGATGTCAGGATGAATGTCCTGGGCACACACTGGCAGCCCCAAGGGTATATGGCTCTAGCTCAGTCTGTGAGGATCTATTTGTCAGCAAGAAAATCTTGTCCAGCAGATGTTAACAGGCCAGAAAAGTACCTCATGCCTTTGACTTCTCTGGAACACCCCAGTCCCTAAGCCCAAATAAATCACAGGTGCTGCTTCGCCCTGAGAAAGCCCTCTGAGGGGCCACCTTTCAAAGCCTCAGCCGCCTCCCCTGTGGAATGGAGTCCATGTGCTCCCCAGGGCTGGTCAAGAATCAGGGCTTTGGCCCGCATGGAGAAGGGCTTCCTCAGGCCTGTGGGACGCAGTGCCCGCTGTCCATCACCTTCTGTCTCTCCACAAGGATCAGCGTCAACAAGTGTCTTAGTCTCACTCAGATTTGGCCCTTCTTCCGCGCCTGCCAGTTCAGCTAGCACTTCGGCCAGTGTCTCAGGCAGGGTCTAGGGTTGCAGGCACCAGAAGCTCGCTCTGCTTACTTCAGCCAAAGGGAACTGATTGAAAGTGGGAGTGTGCCTGAGTGAGCAGATGCTGGAGACCGCCTGGAGGCCCCAGGGCAGCCTGCAGAGGCCAAGAGGTGGAGCACGGAGCTAGGATGCAGAAATCCCGGCTGCGGCCAGACGGGGAAAGAGCCCCTTGATGACAGTCCTGTGAGGCCCCATCTGATGGAGAAACAGTGCCTCACTAGGAAACAGGTGCTATGAGGGACAATGGATGTGGCCAGAACGCAGCTACCCACTCATCAGGGGCTTAGACAGAAAGTGGATTCTAGAATGTCCTTTCCTCTTCAGGGCCACGCCTGGCTGAAAGATGACGAAGCGACACACTGTAGGCAGTGTGAGAAGGAGTTCTCCATTTCCCGGAGAAAGGTACGTGGGGGCTCCACCCACCCTCCCAGTGCCCTGAGTCGTTGCCCGCTGGATTCCCCTTTCTCTGGTTCCAGAAGCCCATATCAGAGCAGGCTCACTGCCCGGTGACTGTGCTGACTGTGGCAGATGGGCAGCCCCGCCTCTCCTGTTTGCCTGTGCAGATGGCTTTCCATCCTGGCACCCTCTTTCTGGGAGGCCTTGGCCAGTCATAGGCCCCTGGTCTCCAGCACATCCTTTCAGTGATTGACAATGATTTTTGGGGAGATGGGGCTCCTTGTGTGCAGAGCTGCTCTAGGGGAGTGTCATTGAAAATTCTCTGTATGCGGCAGGAACAAAATCTGGCCCAACTTAGGCAAAAACAATCTATGGGGAACCTACAGGGCAGCAGGTCACCAAAAATCACTAGTGATCTAGGCAGCGTGCTTGCCCCTGCCCTTTAGGTTCTGGAAACAAGGTCCTAGGCTCACCCTTGGGTCTAGGGTTGACTGGGCCTTATTAACAGTCTCACCAAGACCAGCTGGGTAGGGGAAGAGTTGGGTATAAGCAAAACTGGGAGCTAAAGGAAACACTGCCAGCGCCACCCACCTTTCTGCCACAGCCATGTTCTGTCTGTTCCCATCAACAGCCTAGCTCTGTGGAAGAGAGGAAGCCACAGCTACCCCACCCGCTCCCCAACCCGAGTTTCAGGCAGTGCCTTGCAGTAAGCTCAGAGCTAGAAACCACGTCCTGAGGCTGCCTTTGAGATCACATGTGTCTACAAGGCCTGGCTGTCCCCATCTGTGGAGTCAGAAGCAGAGGCTGCACAGGTGCTCATCTTGATGTCTTATCAGGCACCCAGGGAACCTGTTTAGAAAGGGATCTACTCCACCCCCTTGGAATGCAGCAAAGAGAACGAACCAGACTCTTCCTGTAACATGGACTAGCAGCTCACTGGCTTAGTGATGAAGTACAGCAAAAGTAAACTTTTTGTCTTAAAAACACCCTTAGGCCGGGCACGGTGGCTCATGACTGTAATCCTAGCACTTTGGGAGGCTGAGGTGGGTGGATCACGAGGTCAGAAGTTCAAGACCAGTCTGGCCAAGATGGTGAAACCCCATCATCTCTACTAAAAAAATACAAAAACTAACCGGGCACGGTGGCAGGCACTTGTAATCCCAGCTACTTGGGAGGCTGAGGCAGGAGAATCGCTTGAACCCAGGTGGCAGAGGTTGCAGTGAGCCGAGATTGCGCCACTGCACCCCAGCCTGGGCGACAGAGACTCAAAAAAAAAAAAAAAAGCCGGGCGCGGTGTTTCACGCCTGTAATCCCAACACTTTGGGAGGCCAAGGCGGAGGCAGATCACGAGGTCAGGAGATCGAGACCATCCTGGCTAACATGGTGAAACCCCGTCTCTACTAAAAATACAAAAAATTAGCCAGGTATAGTGGCGGGCACCTGTAGACCCAGCTACTGCCGGAGAATGGCGTGAACCTGGGAGGCAGAGCTTGCAGTGAGCTGAGATCGCGCCACTGCACTGCAGCCCGGGCGACTGAGCAAGACTCTATCTCAAAAAAAAAAAAAAAAAAAGACCCTTGTTTGCACACAGCCCCTCACCACCCCACAGAAACATAAGAACCCATTCCCAGCAAATGATGCGCTTCTGGGTCAGGAAGCAGGGAGGGTGTGCGGATGGCTTTTCCCCGGGTGTCCTGTGACCGCCTTCTTCCCGTCCTGTAGCACCACTGCCGGAACTGTGGCCACATCTTCTGCAACACCTGCTCCAGCAACGAGCTGGCCCTGCCCTCCTACCCCAAGCCGGTGCGAGTGTGCGACAGCTGCCACACCCTGCTCCTGCAGCGCTGCTCCTCCACGGCCTCCTGAACGTCCGTCCTCAGGAGCACAGCCTCACGGACAGTGCCAAACCCTGTGGGTCTCCAGGGGCTTGGGAAATGTGTTCTTTCCCAAGAGTATCAAAGGAAAGAATCAAATTTCTTGCCCGGTCACTGGCACTCCAGAAGACAGCGTGCCGGAACCGGCAGCTCTCACCTTTCTGTGACTTGTTCGGAATTAACTCCTCTGGATGGAAACTTCCATCTTACTTGGTTACATCACGGCTCTGGTTCAGATACAACTTCATGATTTTGCTACTATCATTTTTCACTTTTCAAAGAATTTAACCTATTTTACAGCAGTTCAGTTCTGCTAGTGAGTAGTTTTCCTCTCCTACCTTCCTTCTAAAAACCTGATTCATGCACAGCGTTTGACACACATGGAGTCTGCCAGTGTGCCTTCTCTGCTTCAGACAAGAGATCTGCCATTTCATGCCCTTGTGACTACCTATCATTGGCCCTGCAATAAAATCATTTATTTTTCACTCTGGTGCGTGCAGAAGCTTGTGTCAACTTCCAAAGAGCCCACCGCACCGGAGGAGGCCTCAGAGCGCCCCTCGTGCCCGAGCCCCGTGTGAGTGAGAGGCTGCTGGTGCTGCCCCAGAGCCTGCAGGGCAGCCTGGTGAGCCAAGGGCAGTTTGCAGGGTCAGCCTGCCGTCAACAGGCAGAGGAGGTGACCCCAAGCCTGTCACCAAAGTGCAAGAGTCGTTCACGTACATAGTTGGGAGTTTGATAGGTTACAGATGGAGACACCTGTGAAAAGGCACGTGCCAGGCAGCCATTTTTCACATTTCAAATGCAGCGCTACGACTGGCTTCCAGTCCCTCCCTCGGAGGCCCCCACCCCCAAAGATCCAATGGCCCGGGGCTCCCTTCCGGTAGAGACAACAGCATTATCAAGTCCAGACAGCCAACAGTCAAGTCTTCCAGGCCTCATCCTTCTCCACCTTCTATACACATACCTTGTCCGCGACCCTACCCTCCCTTCCCACGGGCTTCCTACCCTCGCCAAATCCAGGCCTCAGGATTCCACTCCTCCTTTGGGCTCTTCCTCCGAAGCAGGCTCCCCCACGACCTGGTCAGCCCTGGTAGATGCTTGCATGGCACCCTCAACTGAATTCCTCCTCTGCCGCTCCCTCCCCTCAAACCGCTCTGAAGATGGAAAAGGTGGGAGCTTGGGCAAGACTCAAGGATTCCCCCTCCATCCTATACCGCTTAGGACTGTGCGGCCAGACTTCAAGACGAGGTCCGCCCTGCTCCAAAGCCATGTCCTAGCAGGGTTCCAACCCTATTAGGCAAGCACATTGGCAGCCCTCCCCTTTCCTCACCCCTCACCGTAACAGCTGCCGTCTCATACAGGGCCAAACTTTCAGAAAAAACTGCCTATCACTCACTACCCCTAACTGGCATATATGACATCTGTGCCTTTTCAATACACCCAGTTTGGACCCCTAACTTGCTGGGCAGCCTTAGGCAAGTCAGTTCACTTGAGTCTTAGCTCTCATCTGCACACACAAAAGCAGAATAATCTATCCCTCCCCTACTTCAAGTCTGTTCTGACAGCTCAGTATAAAAACATGCAGGAGGTTCCCACCTCTGTGCCTGACACTTGGGTATAAACACAAGTGTTTAAGTGAAATTTTCAAAGTTGGCAATATTTGGTCAAGATAACTTCCCTACTCAGAAACTGAAATATATTCCAAGCCCTAACTCTGGAATCTCCAGTCCCTGGTCTGCTACCATACCACCTTTACCCAGGCCTGAGAAATGAAAGATAGATATTTTAAGGCAGCACTTCCCAAGTCAACTGAGGTAGGGGTGAGTGGTCAGGATTTTGTTTAAAATGCAGATTCCAACTGACAAGGTCAGGAGGTTAAGTTACTGCAAACAAGCTATGGAGCATAAGATTCCAAAGAACCATAATGCTTCTAGACTTTTTTTTGAGACAGGAATTTCGCTCGTTACCCAGACTAGAGTGCAATGGCACGATCTTGGCTCACTGCAACCTCTGCCTCAGTAACTGGTATTATAAGCGTGCACCACCATGCCCAGCTAATTTTTGTATTTTTTAGCAGAGACAGGGTTTCACCATGTTGGCCAGGCTGGTCTCGAACTCCTGACCTCAGGTGATCCACCCACCTCAGCCTCCCAAAGTGTTGAAATCACAGGCGTTAGCCACCGCCCCTGCCCTAGACTAGCCGTATGGCTCTGGATTTAGTTTAACCTTACTCCAAGTTTCTAGTTCTACTCCCTTCTCTAACAGGGCAAGCTTTATCCTTAAATGTACCACAGTTAACTAAAGAACCCAGAGAAGGGACCTTCAATCTTTCTCAATACTGGGCCTCAGTACCAAACTATTAACGCAAGATCTCAAGGGCAGTAACCAAGCTTAGAACACAGCTCAACAACTCTCAACACTGCCTCCCCCGACAACTGCTGTTCTCTAGACCTGCCAAAGACAAAACCAACAATACACATTCCAGACCCTTCCCTCTGCTAGTGTCCAGTCCTGGTAGGGGCAAGCAAGGTAGATCTGCAAAGCCCTCCCCTCCATGTCTCCTGCATGCACTGCTCCTGTGGGCAGATGGTTAGAAATGACCGATACTAAGCCACTCTGTCCACCCTACCTAGCTCTACCCCAACAACAAACTCAAGAAAAGCTCGTGTAATCGCAGAAAAGAGAAAGCTTATCCACACTTCGCTTTAAAGGGCGGCCGGGCGCGGTGGCTCACGCCTGTAATCCCAGCACTTTGGGAGGCCGAGGCGGGCGGATCACGAGGTCAGGAGATCGAGACCATCCCGGCTAAAACGGTGAAACCCCGTCTCTACTAAAAATACAAAAAAAAATTAGCCGGGCGTAGTGGCGGGCGCCTGTAGTCCCAGCTACTTGGGAGGCTGAGGAAGGAGAATGGCGTGAACCCGGTAGGCGGAGCTTGCAGTGAGCCGAGATCCCGCCACTGCACTCCAGCCTGGGCGATAGAGCGAGACTCCGTCTCAAAAAAAAAAAAAAAAAAAAGGCACAAGCCTATGTGACAGCCTAGTTCAGACACTACATTCTAATTTCATTATCAGGGACTTGAATCTAATGGGATGAAAGTAGTAGCGGCAGTTCCCACACTGCAGCACCCCTGAGCATCTGCTGAAGGAACCCCGGGAGCGTGCTTTTCAGGACTGCTTTTGTGATACCCAACCTTGTATTAACACGAATAGACTCTCCCTTACATGCCTAACCTTGTTTTTAATATGAAGACTCCCTTCGCTGAGAAAACCAGGCCAACTCCATTTGGCTCCTTCATTTACAAGACATCAAGGGCTCCTTACCCACCCCCCTTTCCTCAAGGACTTTAACTTGTGCAAGCTCTCAACGTATCAAAGAGTGCAGTTAACTGATAAGGTGCTGAGGCAAGCGATGTCCAGTTCCCAGCAATTTACTCAGAGATGGTACCATCAAGCCCCCATGTTTGTCCGGTAGATAACACCCAGAGCCCCCTCACCTGTCACTTTGTGATGAATTTGAAGCTCCTGCACCTGGAACTGTTTTCCTGTAACCATTTGTCTTTAACTTTTTTGTCTGTTTTTCTTCCCTAAGATGGCTGCAGCTAGAATCCCCCTCCCCTCTCCAAACCAAAGTATAAAAGAAAATCTAGCTCCTTCTTCGAGGCCGAGATACTTTCATGCGGTAGCCGTCTCTCGGTCGCCGGCTAATAAAGGACTCCTGAACTCGTCTCCAAGTGTGGCGTTTCTAACTCGCTCAGGTACACCACTTGGAAGCAGCTTGAATACTTGCTATCATCATGTTGGAGCTTCGAACTACCAAAACGTGATATATTTAAGAGTTCATTTAAACTTCTCATGTTAGCTCTCAATCTCTACCTATCGTTCTACCTTAGGAGACTTACATGGAATTTTGCTTCCAAGTGGAATTGATTTTTAGGAATGACCCAAAAATACAGAAGTTCAAAACTTCCATTTGAAAACCATCTGTGAAGGCTGGGCAATGGCTCCAGCCTATAATCCCAGCACTTTCAGAGGCCGAGGTGGGCAGATCTCATGAGGTCAGGAGTTGGAGACCAGCCTGGCCAACATCGTGAAACCCCGTGTCTACTAAACATACAAAAAAAATTAGCCTGGAGTGGTGGTGGGCGCCTGTAACCCCAACTACTTGGGAGGCTGAGGCAGAAGCCCACAAGGTGGAGGTTGCAGGTGAGCTGAGATCACGCCACTGCAATCCAGCCTGAGACAACAGAATATAACTCTGCCTCAAAAAAAAAAACAAACCTATGAGCTTATGAGCTAGAAGAAACCCACATATTCATCACACCTCCCTTGCCTCCGGCACCTTCCCAGCCAAGCATGAAGGCCTCAAAGACATGCAGGCATGCAGTGAGGGCACTGGCGCCTCCCCCTTTGTTTTGTGCAAGTGCTTAATGAGTTACAGGCAGTTCAGATCAGGTCCTGTGCAGCCAAATGACATACAGCCCTTCCACCAGGGCCCCAAAGACGAGTTTACCTTCAGTTGCACTGGAGGGAAGACTGAAGACATCTACGCAACAGCCTCAACTGCCAAGCCAGAGATGTGGCCCTAGGCCCCAGGTGGGCACAGAGCACCAAGACTCAGTCCACATGACACTGAAGCACAGACAAGACAGAGTGCAGTTTTTAAAAGGAGGATTTATTTGACAAGTTTCACTTAGCGCAATATACCTAAAAGGAAATCACAATACAATGAAAGATTTAAATCAAGGCCTCAGAATTTCATACAAACACCAAGACCAAAATCCTAAGTATTGGTATTGCGTCTCAAATTTTTCCCATTAACTTAAAAAAAAAAAAAGCTTAAACTTACGTGCCTTACAGGTTATTAAATGAAACTAGAATTAACAAACATGCCAAAATGTTTCACTTTTAATAGTAGACACAGCTCCTATATTGTTTTACAAAAAAATAAAAGCATGTCTTTCAACATGCATCCAAAACAGTGTTCAATTTAACGTGGCAAAGGGCAACATTTAACATAATTCAACTGCTTTTACCTAAATACGCTTACTGCTTAAGTACATCCTATAACTAACTTGAGAAAAGCTGGAACTTAAGTTTAACAGTTATAGTTTACTCAGCTTCACTGTTACATCCTAGATGAGTATTGTATTCAAAAATACTGGGCCTTAAGTCTTCATAACAATCCTGATTTCCACTTAGAGTAAGCATAAATCACAAGCTTGTATTGCAGAAACTGTTAAACTGAAGTTTTCTTAAAGAAAAAAAAAAAAAAAAAAAAAAGGTTGACCAAGAGTCAGTGATCAGGATCGATCAATTACATTCCCCATCCACCACTCATACTGGACATGCTAGACAACCCTCCCATTCCGTTCACGCCCATAGATGCACGGCTTCCACTACTGTAGTAGCTGCTGTTCACTGCTCCTTGGTTACCTGCAAAGAGATCAATTTGACAAGTTAGGAGTAATATCAGACTACCAGTCAAATAAAATATAGTATTCCAAGAAAAAGTTTAAAAAGTATACGAGTACAAATGGCTGCTGTCCAAGTGGCGAGACGCATGTTTGGGAAAGGGGAATCCCGACTCCAAACAAGCCTCAATTAACCCCTTTTCTCTGCAGTACCAACTTGCCAGACTCTTGTGCTACCATTTTAACGGATTCTTCAGGATCAACATGAAAAATTAAGTTTAAAGGAAAACTAGTGTTTTTCAAAAATTGCAAAATTACTTCGTATTTTTAAAGCTAAACAAGGCATTTTTAAAAAAAATTTAACATAAACATTCACAATGTGTCCCTCGAATGGCATTTGAGAAAAGGGAGCACAGGGGAAGTCTCTTGCTTTTCCTATTCATGGTGGGCAGGAAGTGAGACAACCAAGCTGGACTAAAGGCAACTCACTGTGCCCAAATGGCAGCCTCCATGGAGTTAAGTCAGAGCCATTGACTGCTATAGAAAGCATTATTACAACATATCAGTATTTGCTATTGGGAATTTATATTTTTTGAGAAAATATTTACCTATGCAATGTTTGATTGAAAATCACTGGAGTTTTCCTGTAAAACTTGGTCTGCAAAAGGATTTTGTAGGGTAAGACTATAATACCAAAATCACCATTCTTTAGACCAATTGAAAAAAAATAAATAAAACCAATCCTAGGTTAACTGACTAATAAATACGATCCTGAACCCAACCACCATTCTACTATTTCAAATTCTCCCTCTGTCTAAAACTGACTTAATGCTAACCAAAAGACAAAAAAGTGAACAACTTTATTTAATGTTTTAATACATGGAGGCAGATATTTTCTGGCTCGACAGTATTCCAAAGCTGCAATGACTAGTTCTTAATTCAAAGAACACTTCCCCCTCCCAATGATTGTTTCTGAAAATTAGCTAGTAAAAACAGTTACATTTGGATTGAAAGCATACATTTCATAACCCAATTTCACCGAAAGGAGCCTGCATCTTCCCAACTAAAGGCACCTGCCTGCGACTTACTCTAAGTACAGTAACAGGCTTTACCATAACTTACTCTAAGTACAGTAATGAACAGGCTTTACCATAACTTACTCTAAGTACAGTAACAAACAGGCTTTACCGTATCCACTCATGCTGCTCTGGCCACCGTAGCCGCCTCCGTAACCCCCACTCAGCTGCTGGCTGGCTGGGCCCCCGTAGCTGGACTGGTTTGCTGTTAAGTTAAGAAAACATTAGAACCTTTTTTCTTATGTGATGTGGTACCTGGTGGTACCGGGCTTGTAATTCTATAGCTATCATTTTCCAGTCTTGATCTTACATTACTGTAACCCTCTGCCTCCTTCTGCCTACTGTCTATAACCAGGCCACCCTTCTATCCATCATTTGAGCCAGTCAAATATTGATAAACCAAAGTGCTAACGGTACACACATCAGCAGGACTAAAATCAACATGATTCCGTAAGTAGAGGCATTTTGTGAAGATCTTATGAAACTGCTTGACTGGATTTAGTGGGTTCCCCCTCAGTTTGATACATCAAAGGCATGTCAATACACCTAATTATGCCCACATTTATCTTAATCCTGTTTTGCTATTGATTTAAACTTTATACTTAGAAAATTTAAGTAGTTTCACTCCGTAGTCCCCTCCCCCAAGACTACTTAAACCTAATTTGAATTATCTATCCTAAGGAACTTCATAACTCACAAGGATTTAAGTAAGCCAGATACAAAACTCAAATATCAAGAAACTGCTTTGCCTAAGTTTCTTATGCTAAACTTATTAAATAAATAGATTAACTTAACTTATAATTGACTTATACAGATATAAACGTTTTGGTTTTTAAAAAAACTAACGATATTTACACAAGCCCATGCCTCCCATCATTTGGCTACCATAAGCACCACCGCTTGCTCCTGCTGTAGAATTCAAGAAGAGTTCTACATATCTGTGTTCTGAAATGAGAGAAAAGGCATACAAGGTTAGCTTAAAAAAAAGACACTAAAGTGATATTTACACAAACCCATG
Source organism: Homo sapiens (assembly GCF_000001405.40). NCBI lineage: Eukaryota > Metazoa > Chordata > Mammalia > Primates > Hominidae > Homo > Homo sapiens. The sequence goes on from NC_000005.10 coordinate 179,617,032, forward strand.
CCTCCTAGCATTTGGCTACCGTAAGCACCACCGCTTGCTCCTGCTGTAGAATTCAAGAAGAGTTCTACATATCTGTGTTCTGAAATGAGAAAAAAAAAGTTTGAAAATGTTTGTTGGTGAAACAAAACAGAATAAGCACTTTTATAAAGTTTTTAAACAAGCAGATCTGTGAACTTCAAATACTTTGGCAAAGAAATTCTAGCTACTTCTCTTAGGTGATCTACTTTAACTCCAAAATCTAGCCTTTACATATTCATCTGTATTGTCAATTAAGGATATACACTTCAAGATGTGCATATCACAAATCCGTTATACTAATTTTTAAAACCCAAACCTTCAACACACTGCCCCCGCATCCCCCAAGAATTAATCTATTACTGGAGAGGAAACTTCTCATATATCCTTATTTTTCCATTTCTCTATTGTAAATGTTAGTCACACAATCACCTGTTAAGAGCCCACAAATGCTCAATCACACTTACGCATATTTGCTTTGTCTTTTGACATAGCTGCCACAGCATCTTCATGAGTTGCGAACTCGACATCTGCTTCACCAGTTACTCTGCCATCAGGACCAATTTCAATGTGTACTCTCACAGGGTTGAGCGGTGAAAAAAACTACAACACAAGGCATTTCAAAGAATTCAACCAACTTTCTAACGTTACAAAAAAAACCTAAAATTTCTAACATAGTGCTCACATTTATAGAATAAGGCTGACTTACTGCCATACTGAAATATTGACTTGTGAGTTCATCTCACACTTACATTATAAATGTCATTCTCAGTAGCTCTGTAAGGTAATCCCCGCATGTGTACACAGTGTCCTGTTGTGCTCTGGAAAGTAGAGCCACCATCCCCGTATCTGTGATCAGACATTCCTGAAAAACAGTAATTGAGGTCTAGATGGACAAGAGTGTAAGCATCCTTCAACTGAGAAATTCAATTCTTACCTTACCTCTTCCAAATCTATCTGACCCAAATCCATAGCCATCATTATAGCCATTGTAATCATCATAGCCTCCATAGCCTGAAAGACAAAGTACAATCAATCAAATAAAACACCTAGACAAAGGAACAGACGACTTGCCGAACCTTACGAATCCTCACGTACCTCCACCATAAGCACCACGCCTCATCCTCTCAAAGCCAGCTCCTCTGCCAATGCTGTTATACCCTCTACCAGCCCCAGGTCTGTCATAAGGACCTGGCCGCTGCATGGCCATAAGCTTTCGTGGTGGATCATAATGAGTTCTAACTTCAGCTCTACTGCTCTTAAAGATTTCAATATACCTAAAGCATTGTTCATAAGGAAGGGGTAGGGAGGGGAGAGAAAACATTAGTTCATTTTATACAGGTATTTAGTTATACAAGAAAACAATCTAGTCATAGCCATGAAACTGACTAATATTTAAAGCCAGATTTCTTATATTTGCATAGGCAATGACCAGAAATTCACTCAATAAATAGTAAGACAATGTAAACTTTATAGAAAAAAAAAAAAAACTCACTCCTCTGAGGCAGAGCCCAACCTTAGGGGTAGAGAGGAGTACTGTAAATAAATGTTTTAGGAGGGAAATAATTCCACTCAACTTTCAACATTTCAAGTCTTAAATCCATTGGCAGCATGTATAGCAAGTGGGCTAAAAAGCCAGCCTCCACCAACAGTCCAGCCCACACTACACATTTCCTTTCGCCAATAAATACCCCAGCCTATGCTTTTAGTAAGAATCAGCATAGGTAAGCGCATGCTTCAATGAAAAATAGTCACAAGCAAAGAGAATAAAACCTTTTGTGACAATTTCTTGAAAGCTATGCTTATTAATACTATGCAGAATATTTATATACAGCAAGAAAAAGTTTGTTGCATTTCAACTTTAAAAACAAGATCAGAAAGTATCACATTTTCTTATGGTAATATTAATTTATTCTAGGTGGGTGTTATTACAGCTAAAGCCAGGTTTGCATTAATTTTTTAAAGCCATAGTCTCTCAACTCTATTGATTGGGGTTAATAAGACTCACAAAATTGTCAAGCAGACCAATTAACTAGGGACAAATTTCAAACCTAAAATTTAGTTTGCGTGTAACGTGGGACTGACACAAGTTTGGAAATCATGGCAAAACATCAATTACCTAGGACTACAAAACATTAATTTCTTCTTTTAAGCAGAGAGAATATGGATTTAATTGTTTACCATAAGAAAAGTGACATATCCAACCAACCATCCATCCCCACCTGTGCCCTATTCTTTCCTTGTGTTTCTTTAGAGCCTTTTCAGCTATTTCCTGTGAAGCAAACTGCACGAAGGCCTCCCCCGTACTCCTCCCCTGGAAGTCCACCGGCAATGTTATCCCATTTGGCACGATTTCCAACCCTTCAACCCAAGGACAAATAACCCCAGTAGGGGGGCAATATTAACATCACAAGCCCAGAAATGATTCTTCTTATAGCTTTAAATAAACCAGAATTTTTAACTTTAGGTGAATGGTATGCTTTCAACAAGTACTCTTTAAATATGCATTGCAATAATATGAAGTTCCATTATTATAAAGTATAACTATTCTTAACACACCCATGGTACAGTATATATTAAAAAAAACTTGCTGAACACAGGATGCATTAAGAATTCAACAACTTAAGAACACATATCTATGCAACTTAATGTTGAGAATTATACAATTCAATTAAGTTTTAAGCATTAAATAACAGTTTTACTAAATTCAAAACACCTTTTACCTCATTTTATATTTCAATGCTTTAAGTTATTGGAACTTCAAGTTTTTAAAAAGGTATACATTTACAACATTTCATATAAAAACTGAAACATTAAATTATAATTGACAAACACAACAATCTAAACTTTCAACAAAACTGATCTACACAGCACAATCATGCATGCTTATGCTCTAACAGTAGTTATGATTCACTTCTGGAAATTCCGTCTATGAAAAATCCTTTCCGTGGATACATTCCCAAGCTTACAAAAAGGACTTAAAGCACTTTCCTAGAAGATATGAAATTATGTTCATATTTAACGTTGACAGCATTCAATTCTCACCAATTTAGTGTCAAAACAAAACAGACTTGATTTTAAAAATTCTGACATTAGGACTCGATACATATATCAATTTTTAACATACTACACTAAACCATGAAAGGATTTCCTGCTTCCAGCGTATCACATCATAAATATTAATACTTAAAATATACGATATCTTATCTAACATTGTTAAACATGCAATCTTATCAGCTCTTCAGCATAAAAACATTCAAATACTTTAGGCCCAGGAACAATTTCAAAACACTTATTTCAGATACTGAGACTACAAGCATTCAAACTACTCTCACTACATCTGATTTTCAGTAAGTTTATACCACACAGGTTAAACCAAGTCTTTCATAAACCGACTTTTGCATTAAAGAGAATTAGACCATTAGATGCTTCTGGTCACATGACCCAAATACGTGTCTCTTGCAACACAGACACTTGCCATAATTTACAACAACCTAATTCATCGCACTGATGATCTGCTGGTAAAGGGATCTTACCTTTAACTTGAGGTACTTAGCTGGACACCAATGTGAGGAAAGTAGTTAAGCTGTTGAGGGCAATCCTCAATGAAAGATCTACTCTGAACTATAATACTAAATATAGGCAAAGTTAACATTTTGGAAGTACTTCATTTCCACCTTTAAGATGGGCTTAAATTATTTGAAGGTCTCTAGGAAGAAAACATTAATTCATTGGCAATTTACAACCTACTGAAATACCTAAGCTACTCAACTTTAACGTCTATTAAATCACCTTGCCATAAGCTAGCCAAAACTCACTGCTCAGCAACAAACATGACTACATACCTGAGAAGAACTGAACAATTTCTTCCTTGCTACATCCAAAGGGAAGTCCTCTAAGCCGTACAAAGCCATCATTGGCCGTGTCAGGACTATTTGGACCAGTATGCTTCAACACCCAATCCATTTCAACGTTGTTTGACTTGAATACTGAAAGAGGTGCTTAGAATTAGTCACTTTTGGAAAATTAGATAACAAAGTTCAGACTTCCTGGGTCTTTAGATAAGCTAGGAAGAGCTGCCACAAACTCCCTTAGATGACCATTTCCATGCAGTCAAATACCTAAAATTCAGAAGGGGTGAGACCTCTATTGTTTAATGCTTTATTTACTGTAACTAGGGCAATGTAAATCAAACCTTCAACATATCTGTGTCCCATAGTTTCTCTGTCTTTTTTCAGGGCCAATTTGACTTCATCTTCTGATTCAAGTTCAACAAAAGCCTCGCCACTTGGTCTGCCTTCTCTGGTGTAGATGAAACGAATACCTTGAGCCCCATTTTGAATTTTGCAGTCTGGAAAGAAAACAACCGTTAATACAGAATTTAAAACCTAAAACCACCTCTGGGTGACACAGATGAAATGTCTATTCCATGTCCCCACTACAAATTACATAACTTGTGAAGCCTATATATACTGACCACGATATTACCAACTCCTAAAACTCCAATTAAAAAAAAACAAACTCATTCCTAAGGTGATATATTTCCAACCCATCAACAACATACAATATTCAAAGCAGTTTCAGAATGAATTTATCTCTTTAGTCCTTGCTACTCATGTCTACATCACACATCTTTTATCAATTTCTCAGAAGATTATCAAGCCTGGACTGTGTGACTTTACGGCAAACATACTTCGTTGCGAGCTGTTTTGGTCTGGGGCATTTATCCGTTTTACCTTACCAGTAGCCACATTACGGTTTCTCATTCAAATTCAAATTACAAGCCCAATACTCACCTGAAAGGGGATCAGTGTTACCAAGCTAAAATGCTCCAAGTTGCACAGCTGAAGCCAAACCCAGTGTTGCCCCCTGCAAGGCGGCTTCCAGCGTACTTGGTTCTTGTTTTACAGGTCGCTTTCCGTTACCAACGCTAAATTCAGATAGTAAGTCAATACTACAAACGTCTTGCCAAAAGCTGTTAATTTCATCCAAATAGAATTTTAATCAGTCTAATTTCTTTTTCCCAGTCTAATAATAGGAACAAGGACATTCTGATAGAAAATATTCAGGAAACCTATGTACTGCAAAAACACTTCCCTGGGCTTCAGTGTCTTCAACTGTATAGTGAGCCAGATTAAGAACTAGATAAGAAAACACTCTTCAATTATCAAATCTTGATTAGGAAAACTGAAATTAAGACGTGACATTTTAACTTTCCGAAGAATGCTCCTTTTTAAGAAAACACCAAAACTGGAAACAAGAGGTTACACTTCAAGATATTGCAAAACATTACTATTATTTGTCTAATCACTCGGCCATTTTCTCAAGATTGAGGAGGAAATCCCACCTATGCCAATTTATCCTTTCGAAAAAAGACACCCGGGCCAGGCGCGGTGGCTCACGCCTGTAATCCCAGCATTTTGGGAAACCGAGGTGGGCGGATCACTTGAGGTCAGATGTTCGAGACCAGCCTGGCCAAAATAGTGAAACCCCGTCTCTACTAAAAATACAAAAATTAGCCGGGCGTGGCGGTGCGCGCCTCTAGTCCCAGACACTCGGGAGACTGAGGCAGGAGAATCGCTTGAACCCAGGAGGCGGAGGTTGCAGTGAGCCGAGAACGCGCCACTGCACTCCAGCTTGGGTGACAGAGACTCCAACTCAAAAGAAAAAGAAAAAAAGACACCCATAAAAGAAAAGCTGGTGTTCAAAGATAGGTAAAGAAAACAAAGTCTGCCAAACCTGCCGCACTCCCCCAAGGGCCAGGAGGACGGGCGGGGCTTTCGAAATTTCCATTGCGTAACAGCGGGCCGCCGGGCGCGAGCAGCACAGCGGTGAGTGTAGTCGCCCGCGCCTCGCCAGGGGGCGCCCCGGGTCCCACCCGGCCCGGCCCGGCCCGGCCCGCCCCGCCCCGCCCCGCCCCAGCCCGGCCGCCCGCCAGCCCGCCCGCCCCGGCCTCGAACTCGAACTCCCGCGTCCTAGTTCTAACTCACCAGAAAAAAACCTCTGCACTTCATCGGCCGAGCAAGACCAGGGCAAGCCCCGGACCTTCACCACGAATCCCTCTCCACCTTCCGTGCCCAACATCATCGTCTCTTACGCGGTCCGGCGTCGAAACAAACTGCAAAGCGGGGAGGACCAGAACTGAGAGCGCCAATTAAGCTGTCCTTCGCCTCCGAGGCGCGCCCGGGCCCGCACCGCCCCCCCACGGAGCAAAAACCGGGCGGATGCACCCACCCCGGCGACTCCAACACCTCCTCGTCCGGCGACCGGACCCCCAAAGCTGTCCTGAGCAACAGCTGTCGGCGCCCCGAACCGTGGGGGCCCGGGCCGAGAGCCAGCGTAGAGGAAAGGAAATGGCGGCGGCCGCTTCCGCTCCGCCTCCTCCGACTTCTCACACAATAGAGTCGGCGCGGCCTGCAGGCCTCAGCGGCGGTGCCGAGATTCAGCGAACCACTCGCGGCTCTCGACGGCAGCCTGCAGCTCGCCAAGGTCCCCGTGGCCCTCCCAGAGATATGGGGACAAACAATCCTCGCAAAAACGGTACCCACCGTGGTCGCTGAACTGCAAGCGAGGACCCACCGCGACTCACCTAGACACGCGACTTCTGCGTGGCTAAGACGAAATGGCCAGCGGGCGCCTGCGCAACCTAAATAAGGTCCCTTGTGCGAGTTCTGCGCACGCGCAGCCAGCTGCCCGCACCGCCCCGTTGCGTCACAAAGAGCTCTGGCGCATGCGTAATTTCAAGAGCCAGCCCACCTCCCGCCGGCGGATTATTACACGCTTGGGTTTTGGGCTCAGCACCCCCACCCATAAACCCGCCGGGCTTTTTGTTGCGCCTGCGCCTTCCCGCGAATATTGAACTTCGGAGTCCTAGCGGTTTATAATTATTTCATGCGCATGCGTCTTCCTTGAAACCGTTCTCTAGCCTTACCCGCCAGCGTGGGGGAGGGGAATGGCGGCCGCCTGTTCCCTATGGGACTGTATAGGAGTCCCGAGCTCTGGGTTGTGATGAGGTGGGCGTCTTTCTACCCCTTGCCCCCAGGCTCTTACCGGCGCGCTCCTGGCCGACCTGAAAGGAGGGGCGCGGCCTTCAGGCGTTCCCACTCCCCGCGCCGCCTGTCTTCCCTTTATCCCCAAACCGGCCGAAGCTGGTCAGCTGCAGATTGTCGAACGTCCTGGGAGCTGCGGGGCTGCGGACGTCCCGCGCCCGAAGCCACCCGTATGGTGCCTGGGGCACGTCCCAGCCCTGTGTGCCTCCACTTCCCCTTACCTGCCGTCGTCGGGCCTAGGGCCCCGGTCGGCGCGAGGTTTCCGTGCCTGTGGCTCGCGCCTGTACCCAGCTTTTGCCTAACGAATTCGCACCCTGTGTACCCCTTGACCCGCCTAACGGTCGGCAGGCCTTGACTGCCCTGGGGCCCTGGCACGAGGAGGGATCGCGAGCGCGGGCTCCACGGGTGCGCGCCGGCCTCTGCGCTCGGTAGGTTACCGCTGCATCTCCCAGAGCAGAATTGGTAAGAGTGCGTCCATTCACCAGGCGTAGACGCTGCATTCGAGGAGGCCCCCGGGTCACCCCATGTGCACACATGCTGCGAGATGACTAATGTTCGTGGTTTCTAGCAGCACTGCCCAAAACCTAAGATGCCGTAGCCTCCCAGGCCTCCCCATGTCTGATTTGGCTGCCTTCCTCACCCCAGCTTTAGTGGACACAGACAATACACAAATTAACAATAAGGTAGTGCTGGACCCTGCCGCAGAGCTACCTTAGCTAGTGCAAGCCTGAGTGCCACCCTGGGAAGATGCGGACAAAGCATGTTTCCAACCCCAGTGCCACAGAGTCCGAATCCAGTTTTGACAGGTTTGAGAAAAAGTAGAGAGGACATCAAAAGAAAGACAGGAGCCCAGAGCTAAGCAGGGCCTGATCTTCAAAGGCCACTTAGGCCTTGGCAAGGGTGTTATCTCCGAGAGAAGGCTTTGGCAGGTGATCAGCAGGGGAGCCGTAAACCCTGTGTAAAGGAAAACTCTTGCTGGATGTGAGGGGGATGCAGATGGAGCAGGCAGGGTGAATGACGGTACATACCAGGCCCTCTACTACAAACTGAACTAGAAGCACACACCTGTGGTACCATTTCAGAAGGCACTTTGGCTGAGGTAATCAAGAAGAGAGTCCGGCCAGGTGCGGTGGCTCACTCGTGTAATACCAGCATTTTGGGAGGCCGAGGCAGGCAGATCACTTGAGATCAGGAGTTTCAGACCAGCTTGGCCAACATGGTGAAACCCCATCTCTACTAAAGATACAAAAATTATCTATGCATGCACACGCCTGTAATCCCAGCTACTCTGGAGGCTGAGGCAGGAGAATCACCTGAACCCAGGAGGCAGAGGAAGCAGTGAGCTGAGATCACACCACTGCCCTCCAGCCTGGGCTACAAAGACTCCCTCTCAAAAAAAAAAAAAAAAAAAAATTAGCCAGGCATGGTGATGCATGCCTGTAATCCCAACCACTTGGCAAGACTGAGGCAGGAGAATCACTTAAACCCAGGAGGCAGCAGTTGCAGTCAGCTGAGATCACGCCATTGCACTCCAGCCTGGGCAATAAGAGCAAAACTCCGTCTCAAAAAAAAAAAAAAAAAGAATAGTAGTAAGGTAGAATACATTTCATACACTTATAGCCAATTCTCTTATATATAAATTGTCCAACTTATATTAAAACAAGGTTTTTAAATTTTTATTTTTTATTTGTTTGTTTGAGACACAGCCCGTCACCCAGGCTGGAGTGCAGTGGTGCAAACATGGCTCACCACAGCCTCTACCTTCTGGGCTCAAACAATCCTCCTGCCTCAGCCTCCTGAGTAGGTAGGACCACAGGCATGTGCCACCTTGCTCAGATTATTTATTTATTTATTTATTTATTTATTTATTTTTTGTAGCAATGGGGTCTCATTTTGTTGCCCAGGCTGGTCTTGAATTCTTGGGCTCAAGGAATCATTCCACCTCAGCCTCGCAGAGAAAGTGCTGGGATTACAGGTGTGAGCCACCATGGCTGGCAATGAAAGGTTTTTTTGTTTGGTTTTGTTTTTGAGACAGTCTAACTCTGTCACCCAGGCTGGAGTACAGTGGTGCAATCTTGGCTCACTGCAACCTCTGCCTCCTAGGTTCAAGCAATTCTCATGCCTTAGCCTCCCAAGTAGAGGGATTACAGGTGTGTGCCACCACACCTGGCTACTTTTTTTTAAGTTTTAGTTGAGATGGGGTTTTGCCATGTTGGCCAGGCTGGTCTGGAACTCCTGACCTCAAGTGATCTGCCTGCCTCGGCCTCCCAAAGTACTGAGATTACAAGCATGAGCCACCATGCTCGGCCAAAGGTTTTTTTAAATAAAAAGTTAATCATCAGCCCACGCGTGGGGCTCATGCCTGTAATCCCAGCACTTTGGGAGGCCGAGGCAGGTGGATCAAGAGTTCAGGAGTTAGAGACCAGCCTGACCAACATGGTGAAACCCCGTCTCTACTAAAAATACAAAAAGTAGCCGGGCATGGTGTCGCGTGCCTGTAATCCCAGCTACTCAGGAGGCTGAGGCAGGAGAATCACTTGAACCTGGGAGGTGGAGGTTGCAGTGAGCAGAGATTGCACCACTGCACTCCTGCCTGGGCAACAGAGCAGGACTCTGTCTTTAAAAAAAAAAAAAAAAATTCATCATCTTGCCTCAGTGGTCTTTATGTCTTGGTATACTTCTTTTTTTTTTTTTTTTTGAGACGGAGTCTCGCTCTGTCGCCCAGGCTGGAGTACAATGGCGCGATCTCCGCTCACTGCAAGCTCCGCCTCCCAGGTTCACACCATTCTCCTGCCTCAGCCTCCCGAGTAGAGTAGCTGGGACGACAGGCGCCCGCCACCACGCCCAGCTAATTTTCTTGTATTTTTACTAGAGACGGGGTTTCACCGTGTTAGCCAGGATGGTCTCGATCTCCTAACCTCATGATCCGCCCACCTCGGGCTCCCAAAGTGCTGGGATTATAGGTGTGAGCCACTGCGCCCGGCTAATGTCTTCGTATACTTCTTACAGTTTACAGAGCTCTTTATTAAGGCTGTTAGCCCTTAGGATAGTTGCCCCAGACATTCTTCTCAGTTTGCTTACCTTTTAATTATTTTTGTGGTTTTGTGGTGGTATTTTTTGTTTGTTTTACAGACAATGTCTTGTTCCGTGCAGTGACACAATCATAACTCACTGCAGCCTTGAACTCCTGGGCTCAAGCCATCCTCCAAGCTCAGCCTCCTGAGTAGCTGGGACTAAAGGCACTTTCAACCAGGCCCGACTAATTTTTTTTTTTTTTGTAGTGATGGGGGTCTCACTATGTTGCCCAGGCTAGTCTTGAATTCCTGGCGTCAAGCAATTCTCCCACCTTGGCCTCTCAAAGCCCTGGGATTATTCTACATGTGAGCCATGATGCTCGGCCCTGATTTATGCCTTTTTTTTTTTTAAGACAGGGTCTCACTTCGTCACTCAGGTTGGAGTGCAGGTATGTGATCTCGGCTCACTGCAACCTCCACCTCCCGGGTTCAAGCAATTCTTGTGCCTCAATCTCCCAAATTGCTGGGATATGCCAGGTGCAATGGCTCACACTTGTAATCCCAGCACTTTGGGAGGCTGAGGTGGGTGGATAACTTGATGTCAGGAGTTTCAGACATGTTGGCCAACATGGTGAAACCCTGTCTCTACCAAAAATACAAAAATTAGCCGGGCATGGTGGTGGGCGCCTGTAATCCCAGCTACTTGGGAGGCTGAGGCAGGAGAATCACTTGAACCCAGGATGTGGAGGTTGCAGTGAGCAGAGATCCTGCCACTGTACTCCAGCCTGGGCAACAGAGGGAGATTCCATTGCAAAAAAAAAAAAAGGAAAAAAATACCAAATAGCTGTGATTACAGGCATGCACCATCACACCCGGCTAATTTTTGTATTTTTAGTAGAGATGGGGTTTCACCATGTTGGCCAGGTTGATCTGGAACTCCGAACCTCAAGTGATCCATCCACCTTAGCCTCCCAAAGTGCTGTGATTACAGGTGTGAGCCACTGCACCCGGCCTATGATTGCTTTTTAATATTTGGACATATAGAAGTTTTAAATTTCTTGATGTCAAAGCCATGGATATGTTCCTTTGAGGTTTGTCTTTAAGTTTAGAAAGCCCTTTCCCATCCAGAGATTGAGCACATATTTGTTATCTTTAGTATCATTTGTAAGACACATTTTGTACAGCTTAGCCTCAATAAGATAGGAATGTGTTTTATTTATTTTCTTCTGCTTTTTTAAAAATTTGTATTTATTTATTTATTTTAGATGGAGTCTTGCTCTGTCACCCAGGCTGGAATGCAATGGCATGATCTCGGCTTACTGCAACCTCCACCTCCCAGATTCAAGCGATTCTCCTACCTCAGCCTCCAGAGTAGCTGGGTTTACAGGTGCCTGCCACCACACCCAGCTAATTTTTGTGTTTTTAGTAGAGACCGGGTTTTGCCATGTTGACCTCAGGTGATCCACCCACCTCAGCCTCCCAAATTGCTGGGATTACACGCATGAGCCACCGCACCTGGCCAGGAATGTGTTTTAAAACCAATGATATCAGCTGGGCATGGTGGCTCACCCTGTACTCCTAGCTCTCTGGGAGGCCATGGTGGGCTGATCACTTGAAGTCAAGAGTTCCAGACTAACCTGGCCAACACGGTGAAACCCCGTCTCTACTACATTATCACATCTCATCCTTTTGGCAAAGATCAAGTGTAGGAAAAAAGATAAATTAACCGGGTGTGGTGGCATACGTCTGTAATCCCAGCTACACAGGAGTGTGAGGTGGGAGGATGGCTTGAACCCCAGAGACAGAGGTTGCAGTGAGCCAAGATCACACCACTGCACTCCAGCCTAGGTGACAGAGCGAGACTGTGCCTCAAAGAAAAGAAAATAAATGCAATCATAAATAACCCGGCTGGGCGCGGCGGCTCACGCCTGTAATCCCAGCACTTTGGGAGGCCGAGGTGGGCAGATCACAAGGTCAGCAGATCGAGACCATCCTGGATAACACAGTGAAACCCCGTCTCTACTAAAAATACAAAAAATTAGCCGGGCGTGGTGGCGGGCGCCTGTAGTCCCAGCTACACGGGAGGCTGAGGCAGGAGAATGGCTCGAACCCGGGAGGCGGAGCTTGCAGTGAGCCGAGATCGCGCCATTGCACTCCAGCCTGGGTGACAGAGCGAGACTCCGTCTCAAAAAAAAAAAAAGTAATAATAATGATGATATGTCGCCCAGGCTGGAGTGCAGTGGCATGATCTTGGCTCACTGCAACCTCCCCCACCCAGGCTCAGGTGATCCTCCTGCCTCAGCCTCCCAACAAGTAGCTGGGACTATAGGCACATGCCACCATGCCAGGCTAATTTTTGTATTTTTAGTAGAGATAGGTTGGCCAGGCCGGTCTGGAACTCCTGAACTCAAGTGATCTGACTGCCTCGGCCTCCCAAAGTGCTGGGATTACAGGCATGAGCCACCATGCCAGGCCAGAATTTGTTCGTAGTAGTACAGAAAATAATGGTGGGACTTAAAATTGATGATATTTTAGATTTGATGGAAACTGTTATACTCCAATTATTTTATGTGAAGACATGTTATAGCCATTATAATTATATTTTCATGGATTTCTTAATAATATGAAGTAGACTGGGTGCAGTGGCTTACGCCTGTAATCCCAGCACTTTGGGAGGCCAAGGCAGGTGGATCACTTGACATCAAGAGTTGGAGACCAGCCTGGCCAACATGGTGAAACCCCGTCTCTACTAAAAAAATACAAAAATTAGCCAGGCATGGTGGCACTTGCCTGTAATCTCAGCTACTTGGAGGCTGAGGCAGGAGAATCACTTGAACCTGGGAGGCGGAGGTTGCAGTGAGACTAGATCACGCCACTACACTCGAGCCTCGGTGACAGAACGACTCTGTCTCAAAATAAAACAAAAAAACAGAACCCTGAGATTTGCAAAAGAAAATATGCAGATGACCGGGCTCATGCCTGTAATCCCAGCACTTTGGGAGGCCAAGGTGGGTGGATTACCTGAGGTCGGGAGTTCAAGACCAGCCTGACCAACATAGAGAAACCCTGTCTCTACTAAAAATACAAAAATTAGTCAGGCGTGCTGGCAGATGCCTGTAATCCCAGCTACTTGGGAGGCTGAGGCAGGAGAATCGCTTGAATGTGGGAGGCGGCGGTCGTGGTGAGCTGAAATCTTGCCATTGCACTCCAGCCTGGGCAACAACAGTGAAATTCTGTCTCAAAAAAATAAATAAATAAAAGAAAAAGAAAAAGAAAAGAAAATATGCAGATGATCCATAGGCTTGAGAAGTGTCCCTTTGAGTGGTAACCAAAGAAATGCAAATTAAATAAAATAACGCAAAGCCTTTGCAACTAATTTTCAAATTAATGATCATTTAAAAGAGTAATTAAGAGAGCTGGAAAGGATGCAGGGAGATGCCATCAAGGTACATTGTGCTTGGAGTGTAAATTGGTACACCCTCTCGCTCAGGGCTATTTGCAGTATAAATGCATACATTTCGGCCTGACGCGGGGGCTCACGCCTGTAATCCCAGCACTTTGGAGGGCCGAGGTGGGCGGATCACAAGGTCAAGAGATTGAGATCATCCTGGTCAACATGGTGAAACCCCGTCTCTACTAAAAGTACAAAAAATCAGCTGGGTGTGGTGACGGGCGCCTGTAGTCCCAGCTACTCAGGAGGCTGAGGCAGGAGAATGGCGTGAACCCGGGAGGCAGAGCTTGCAGTGAGCCGAGATCGTGCCACTGCACTCCAGCCTGGGCGACATCTCAAAAAAAAAAAAATCTCAAAAAAGAAACAAAAACAGCTCAAAAAAAAAACAAAAACAAAAATCAAAAAACATACATTTCATTAAAGCATACATTCCATTCCTACTTTTGCACTGATTTAATTACAAGATTGTTCATGGCAGCATGAAATAGGGAAGCTTTAGAAAACAATTTAATGTCTAATGAAGTATGGAATAAATTCTGGTATGAATGCATGGGGGTAGTGGGATGGGGAGGCTGTGAGGGGGAAGGAAATAAATCTTAGGTAACATAATGGTTTGTTGCCTTCCAAAGGGCCACAGGACATGAAAAGATATACGTTACGGTATATCTATGTTATTAAAATATCATGTGGTGGGAAACTAGGAAAAAAGATCTAGAAAGGATCTTTAAGATGGCGATCATGAAAAAAAAAGTTGAGAAAAAATGATCTAGGTTCCGTGTGGTGGCTCATGCCTATAATCTCAGTACTTTGGGAGGCCAAGGCAGGCACATCACCTGAGGTCAGGAGTTCAAGACCAGCCTGGGCAACATATTGAGGCCCCATCTCTACAAAAAGTTAAAAACATGCTGGGCGCGGTGGCTCACACCTGTAATCCTAGCACTTTGGGAGGCCGAGGCAGGCAAATTACCTGAGGTCGGGAGTTCAAGACCAGCCTGGCCAACATGGTGAAACCCCGCCTCTATTAAAAATACAAAAAATTAGCCAGGTGCAGTGGCGTAGGCCTGTAATCCCAGCTACTCAGGGGGCTGAGGCAGGAGAATTGTTTGAACCCAAGAATTGGACGTTGCGATGAGCTGAGTTCGCGCCACTGTACTCCAGCCTGGGCAACAAGAGCAAGACCTCAAAAAAAAAAATTTTTTTTTTAAATATTAGCCAGGCCTGGTGGCACATGCCTGTAGTTCCAGCTACTCAGGAGGTTGAGGTGGGAGGATCGCTTGAGCCCAGGAGGTGGAGGATGCAGTGAGCTGAGATCGCGCCCCTTAACTCCAACCTAGGCAAAGTGGGGAGACCCTCTCTCAAAACAAACAAACTTTAAATTTCTGAGTGATAAACAGCATCGGCCGCCTCCGGGACCTGCTCGGGTGGTACACTGCAAGCTGCGGAGACTTAAGAAAAGGGCGTCTCGGCCGGGCGCGGCGGCTCACGCCTGTAATCCCAGCACTTTGGGAGGCCGAGGCGGGCGGATCACGAGGTCAGGAGATCGAGACCATCCCGGCTAACACGGTGAAACCCCGTCTCTACTAAAAATACAAAAAAAATTATCCGGGCGTGGTGGCGGGTGCCTGTAGTCCCAGCTACTTGGGAGGCTGAGGCAGGAGAATGGCGTGAACCCGGGAGGCGGAGCTTGCAGTGAGCCAAGATCCCGCCACCGCACTCCAGCCTGAGTGACAGAGCGAGACTCCGTCTCAAAAAAAAAAAAAAGAAAAAAGAAAAGGGCGTCTCGGTTAGAGCCCGGGTATGGGGTAGCACCCCCTCCCCCGCCGCGGCCAGGCAGCACGGTCCGCCCTTGCGGCTGGGATCCCCGCGTCTCTCCGCCTTCGCTGGAGCCCCACTGTTGTGTTGAAGGAGACCGTCCTTCCGACGCCGAGTCCGGCTCCACAACCACGTAAACGAATTGTGGATTCAGACACCATGAGCGGCGGAAACAAAGGCGTCCCCACAGTGTCCAGCCGTCCGCTGAGGAGAAGGGTCTGCCCGACGGCCACCTGAGGAGGGACCGAGCACGCCCTCTCCGGTTCACGCTGCGCGCCTCCTCCAGGCGGACAACGCAGGCGGCCGGTTTTGAACTTTCCGGGTGCGAACCTCCCAAGGCTTCAGCCAGGTCACTCACTGTCTAAAGCCAAATCAAATATCTTTTTTTTTTTTTTTTTTTTTGAGACGGAGTCTCGCTCTTGTTGCCCAGGCTCAGCTTCCCGAGTAGGTGGGATTACAGCCCCACCAAGCCCGGCGAATTTTTTTTTTTTTTTTTTTTTTTTTGAGACGGAGTCCTGCTCTGTCGCCAGGCTGGAGTGCAGTGGCGCGATCTCGGCTCACTGCAACATCCAGCTCCTGTATTCAAGCGATTCTCCAGCCTCATTCTCCCCACTAGCTGGGAATACAGGCGCCCACCACCACGCCCAGCTAATTTTTTGTATTTTTAGTAGAGACGGGGTTTCACCATGTTGATCAAGATGATCTCAATCTCTTGACCTCGTGATCCACCTGCCTCAGCCTCCCAAAGTGCTGGGATTACAGGCGTGAGCCACCATGCCCAGTTAATTTTTGTATTTTCAGTAGAGATGGGGTTTCACCATGTTGGTCATGCTGGTGTTGAACTCCAGAGATCAGGTAATCCGCCGCCTCAGCCTCCCGAAGTGTTGGGATTACAGGTGTGAGCCACCACGCCCGGCCTGTTTGTTTGTTTGTTTGTTTGTTTGAGACAGTCTCACTTTATCGCCCAGGCTGGAGTGCAGTGGCACAATCTCGGCTCACTGCAAGCTCCGCCTCCCGGGTTCACGCCATTCTCCTGCCTCAGCCTCCCGAGTAGCTGGGACTACAGGCACCCGCCCCACACCCGGCTAATTTTTTTTTTTTTTTTTTTTTTTTGTATTTTTAGTAGAGACGGGGTTTCACCGTGTCAGCCGGGATGGTATCCATCTCCTGACCTCGTGATCCACCTGCCTTGGCCTCCCAAAGTGCTGGGATTACGGGCGTGAGCCACCGTGCCCTGCCTGTCCAAAAAATAAAATAAAAAGCCAGGCGCAGTGGCTCATGCCTGCAATATTAGCACTTTGGGAGGCCGAGGTGGGCAGATTGCCTAAGCTCAGTAGTTTGAGACCAGCCTGGGCAACACGGTGAAACCCTGTCCCTACTAAAACACAAAAATTAGCCAGGCGTCGCAGAGTGCACCTGTATTCCCAGCTACTCGGGAGACTGAGGCAGAATTGTTTGAACCGGGGAGGCAGAGGTTGCAGTGAGCCGAGTTCGGGCCACTGCACTCCACACTCCAGCCTGGGTGATAGAGCGAGACTCCGTCTCTAAAATAAATAAAATAAAATAAAATAAAATAAAATAACAAAGTAAGCAGTAAAACCATCCAGGCTTGGTAGTCACTATGGTGCTTTCCTCAGGGTCCCCTCCCACAGGCGGCTACTGAGGTCATTTTATCAGGCCCCCTGGGCTCACCTTTTGTTCCATCCCGCACAGGTGAGCCGTCTGGGCAGGCTTTGGCCAGCTTCGCGCAGGTGCCACTGCACAGACTCTCCCTTCAGAGCAGCGCTGGAGGACGGGGTCAGGAGTCAGTGCACAAATCCCTCCTGTCCTTGGGGCCGGGCAGCCACCGCGGCGGGGAGACCCCTCGCTAAGGAGGAGTGTTGGTGTTGCCTCTACTCGCCGGGTCGCCCAGGGCCCTTCACTTCCGAATCAACTCCCCACAGCCGCTGCTTTCAGGGGAAGCCAAGCCAAGTCACATACGGCACGCGCACTGGATCAAAATAATACACGCCTCGACATGCGCCAGACGGTATGTCTAGTATTTAAAGAGCAGGGCTGAAAATGAAAGGTCCTTACCCGGCTTCCTTGCGATTTTCCCACTGCTTCCCCGCGCCAGGGCCGCCTCCTCCGCGGTGCGCGGGAGTTCGGGGAGCGCGCGCCCCCTGCCGGCCGGCCGGAGCGCGGGGCGGGTTTCGCGCCCTCCGTGACCTGGTAGAGCTTGGAATTGCTTCGCTTGTTCTCGCCCGAGGCTACTTTGAGGTTCTAAGTGACTCCCCGTTCCCCGGGTGCCTCGCCGTCGAGAAGCCCAAAGCTTCTCCATCTCCAGCGCTGGATGAGGCTCCCCTAGTTTTCCTTCTGCCCAGATACCCTGTGCTCTCACACAGGTCGTGCTGATGGCGGGGAACCGGGACTGCCGTTGTACGTGGCCTGGAGCTCACTTCCGCTCTCCCCCTCGCTGGACCTCTGACCGCAGGTCTCTGAGTCTGTTTCTTGGAGATTTGGGATAGCTGGGAGGCCCCATGAGAGCGAGACGGTGAAGCTACCAGCAATGGGGTCTGGTTCTGATGTAGCCATTGACCCCAGCTTGCACAGCTGAGCTTGCACATTCCTCCTCTCCTCCCCAGCCCCTGCCCCCGCTCCCAGCTGTGGCTGCCCCATGTCCTCTCCAGACCACCCCGCACAGCTGTGGCTGCCCCATGTCCTCTCCAGACCACCCCGCACAGCTGTGGCTGCCCTCCCAGCCTCCCTCTCACACCGCTCTGTGTGACTTTGTCCTGTGCTTGCTCCTGACACATGGACTTCGCTTTATCTTTCTTTTTTTTTTTTAATTTTAATTAAAAAAAAAATTTTTTTTTTTGAGACAGAGTTTCTCTTTTGTTGCCCAGGCTGGAGTGCAATGGCGCACTTTCGGCTCACAGCAACCTCTTCCTCCTGGGTTCAAGCGATTCTCCTGCCTCAGCCTCCCGAGTAGCTGGGATTACAGGCATGTACCACATGCCCGGCTAATTTTGTATTTTTAGTAGAGACAGGGGTTCTCCATGTTGATCAGGCTGGTCTCGAACTCCTGACCTCAGGTGAACCGCCCACCTCAGCCTCCCAAACTGCTGGGATTGCAGGCATGAGCCACCGCGCCCGGCCTCAATTTATCTTTTATACTTGCCCAGGGCCAAAGGGAAGTCTTACATTAGTCAAACTCACCAGATTCAGTAAAAACTCAACCCTAAAATAATTATTTGAGACCGTGCAGTGGCTCACGCCTATAAGCCCAACAATTTGGAAGGCTCAGAGGTAGGCTTACTTGAGCCCAGGACCTCAAGACCAGCCCAGGGGGCCAGGCGCCGTGGCTCACGCCTGTAATCCCAGCACTCTGGGAGGCCCAGGTGGGTGGATCATGTGGTCAAGAGATCGAGACCATCCTGGCCGACATGGGGAAACCCCGTCTTTACTAAAAATACAAAAATTAGTGTGATGGCGCCCGCCTATAGTCCCAGCTACTTGGGAGGCTGAGGCAGGAGAATTGCCTGAACCCGGGAGGTGGAGGTTGCAGTGAGCCGAAATCGTGCCACTGACTCCAGCCTGGCGACAGAGTGAAACTCTTGTCAAAAAAAGAAGAAGAAAAAAAAAAGAAACCCAGAAAACAAAACGAGTCTTCGTCTCTACAAAAAATTAAAAAATACTTAAAAAATAATTACTTGGGTGTGGTGGCACCTGCCTGTGGTCCCAGCCAGCTGGGAAGTTGAGATGGGAGGATAGCTTGGGCCCAGGAGTTGGAGGCTCCAGTGAACTGTGATTGTGCCACTGGACTCCAGCCTGCGTGACACAGCAAGATTCCACTTCTAAAAAATAATTATAATCTGTCAAATTTCGGGACAGATAATCTTGGCCTCCCAGCCCAAGATTTGATTTGATTTCATTTTATTTTAGAGACGGAGTCTCGCTTTGTCGCCCAGGCTGGAGTACAATGGCACAGTCTCAGCTTACTGTAAACTCCACCTCACGCGTTCAAGCTATTCTTCTGCCTCAGCCTCTTGAGTAGCTGGGATTACAGGCGCGTGCCACCATACTCAGCTAATTTTTGTATTTTTAATAGAGATGGGGTTTCACCATGTTGGTCAGGCTGGTCTCGAACTCTTGACCTCGTGATCCGCCCACCTAGGCCTCCCAAAGTGCTGGGATTACAGGGGTGAACCATCCCGCCTGGCCAAGTTTTTATTTTAACAACTACTGTGTGTGAGAGAAGGGGGTGGGCTAGAGTAGGGTAATATGTACACGCTATGGCTGAAACAGAAAAATGGTAACTTTATTTTCTACTTCCCAGCATGCCCTGCTCTGAGCCCTCATTCCTAGTGAAGGTGGAAACAGAGCAAACTTGCTCTTGTATGGATTTAATTTAGTCTTTTTTTGTAATTACTCAGCCTTTCAGGTTGCTTTCTTCTCCGCTGCTCATTCTGTAGCAGACACTGGGTTGCCTACATAATCCCTTTTCCCCATTCTTTGCCAAGACCTCTGACTTTCTTTGGGATCCACCCTTGGAGAAGGTGCCTCTTGTCCTGGTTCAGGGACATATCCTGACGTGTCTAAGCCAATCACTGTAATGCCATTTCTCTCACCTCGGTTGGCTGGGGTGTGCATGAGACCAATTTCTGACCATGAAAACTCATGGATGTCTGCCATGGGGTCCATTCTTGAAAAGAAACACAAGTGGTCGGGCGCAGTGGCTCACGCCTGTAATCCCAGCACTTTGGGAGGCCGAGGCAGGCGCATCACGAGTTCAGGAGATCGAGACCATCCTGGCTAACACGGTGAAACCCCGTCTCTACTAAAAATCCAAAAAAAAATTAGCCAGGCGTGGTGGCGGGCGTCTGTAGTCCCAGCTACTCAAGAGGCTGAGTTGGGAGAATGGTGTCAACCCGGGAGGCGGAGCTTGCAGTGAGCCAAGATCGGGCCACTGCACTCCAGCCTGGGCAACAGACAGAGCGAGACTCCGTCTCAAAAAAAAAAAAAGAAACACAAGTAAGGAAACTGAATTTGTTATCCATACTTTCCGAAAAGAAAAACCCAGGCCTGGATGATTTAACCGCTTAGTATTTTGTTTTATTTTATTTTATTTATTTATTTTAGAGACGGAGTCTTGCTCTGTCACCCAGGCTGAAGCATGGAGTGCAGTGGCCCGATCTCGGCTCACTGCAACCTCCGCCTGCCGGGTTCAAGCAATTCTCCTGCCTCAGCCTCCCGAGTAGCTGGGAATACAGGTGCATGCCGCTGCCACGCCTGGCTAATTTTTGTGTTTTAGTAGGGACAGGGTTTCACCGTGTTGCCCAGGCTTGTCTCAAACTCCTGAGCTTAGGCAATGTGCCCGCCTCGGCCTCCCCAACTGCTAATATTGCAGGCCTGAGCCACCGTGCCTGGCTTTTTATTTTATCTTTTGGAGAGGTAGGGTCTTGCTATGTTGCCAGGGCTTGGCTCAAACTCTTGGCCTCAAGCAATCCTCCTGCCTCGGCCTCCCAAAGTGCTTGAATTACAGGCAAAAGCCGTCACACTCAGCTGACTGGTCAATTTTTTTTTATTATATTAATCATTTGTTTTGAATCAAATATTCAGTGAAGACATCAACACCAGTCTCATACAAACGCTTTGAGAAAATAGAGGAAGTGTTCAGTTCCTTATGTGAGGCCAGCTTAACCTAAGACAAAAACCTGACAAAAGCATTACAAAAAGAAAATTCCAGGCCGGGCACGGTGGCTCACGCCTGTAATTCCAGCACTTTGGGAGGCCGAGGTAGGTGGATTACGAGGTCAGGAGTTCAAGATCAAGCTGGCCAAGACAGTGAAACACTGTCTCTACTAAAAATACAAAAAAAAAAAAAAAATAGCCAGGCATGGTGGCGGGCGCCTGTAATCTCAGCTACTCAGGAGGCTGAGGCAGAGATTTGCTTGAACCCGCGAGGCAGAGTTTGCAGTGAGCCGAGATCTCGCCACTGCACTCCAGACTGGGCGACAGAGCGAAACTCCGTCTCAAAAACAAAAAACAAAAATTTTTTAAAGATAAAAATAATTAACCAGGTGTGGTGGTGCGTGTCTGTAGTCCCAGCTACAGTCTCCAGCTGAGCCAGTAGAATTGCTTGAGCCTAGGAGTTTGAATTGCAGTGAGCTATGATCGTGCTACTGCACTCAGCCTGGGCAACAGAATGAGACCCCATCCTTAAAATAAAATTTAAAAAAAAGGATATGAATTGGATTGTGTCACTTGAGGCTTCAGTGTTTGCTCTCCAAGTAGAATCGGCTCCCTCCCTGTCCAGCTTGGGGGCTGCCGCTCCAGGCCCTTGGCCTCTTAGCCTCAAAGCCTGCTTCCCTCTGCCTGACCAGGCCACGCATCACTTTCTCAGCAACTCTCCCCAACTCCCAAATAGCTCCCAATTAGGGGCTCTCATTATAGTGCATAGCACTTGCTGAAACTTGTAGCTGTGGACTGGATTGTAAAGTTACTCATTTTTCTTCATCTCCCTGCTAGATTCTAAGCTTCTCCAGGAAAGGGATCTTTTCTCCTCCGGTCATCCTAGGGCAAGGCAAATGGAATGTACTTGAACATTCACTGACTGGATGGACAAATGCATGAAATGAAGACACAAATGCGGAGCTAGTAAGCAATGGGCCAAGCATCCTTCCAAATGGAGAATGAAATTATGAAGACTTGGGCCAGGCGTGGTGGCTCACACCTGTAATCCCAGCACTTTGGGAGGCCAAGGCGGGCAGATCACGAGGTCAGGAGTTCGAAACCAGCCTGGCCAACATGGTGGAACCCTGTCTCTACTAAAAATACAAAAATTAGCCGGGCGTGGTGGGGCAGTAATCCCAGTTACTCGGGAAGCTGAGGTGGGAGAATCACTTGAACCTGAGAGGCG
This sequence comes from Homo sapiens, assembly GCF_000001405.40. Lineage (NCBI taxonomy): Eukaryota > Metazoa > Chordata > Mammalia > Primates > Hominidae > Homo > Homo sapiens. Next base: position 179,639,274 of record NC_000005.10, read on the forward strand.
GAGGCTGCAGTGAGCCAAGATGGCGCCACTGCACTCCAACCTGGGTGACACAGCAAGACTCTGTCTCAAAAAAAAAAAAAAAAAAGGCCTGGTGCGGTGGCTCATGCCTGTAACCAGGCCGAGGCAGGGAGATCACCTGAGGTCAGGAGTTGGAGACCAGCCTGACTAACATGGAGAAACCTTGTCTCTACTGAAAAATACAAAATTAACAGAGCGTGGTGGCAGCGCCTGCTCATAATCCTTGGCATGCTGAGGCAGGAGAATCGCGTGAACCAAAGAGGTGGAGGTTCCGGTGAGCCAAGATCACGCCATTGCACTCCAGCCTGGGCAACAAGAGGAAAACTCCATCAAAAAAAAAAAAAGAAAGAAAGAAAGGAAGGAAGATTGATTATGAAGGCTCAAAAATGTAAGGAGCGGCCGGGCATGGTGGCTCACGCCTGTGTTCCCAGCACTCTGGGAGGCCGAGGTGGATGGATCATGAGGTCAGGAGATCAAGACCATCCTGGCTAACCCGGTGAAACCCCGTCTCTACTAAAAATTCAAAAAAAAATTTAGCCAGGCGTGGTGGCGGGCGCCTATAGTCCCAGCTACTCGAGAGGCTGAATTGGGAGAATGGCGTCAACCCGGGAGGCAGAGGTTGCAGTGAGCAGAGCTCCTGCCACTGTATTCCAGCCTGTGTGACAGAGTGAGACTCTGTCTCAAAAAAAAAAAAAAAAAAAAAAAAAATGTAAGGAGCAACCCACAGCATGAGGGAAAATATTTGCCAACAACAAATCAAACAACTCAATTCAAAAATGCATGAAGGGGACTGGTGCAGTGACGCATGCCTGTAATCCCAGCACTTTGGGAGTCTGAGGTGGGTGGATCACGAGGTCAGGAGTTTGAGACCAGCCTGACCAACATTGTGAAACCCCATCTCTACTAAAAATGCAAAAATTAGCTGGGCGTGGTGGCGTGCGCCTGTAATCCCAGCTACTCAGGAGGCTGAGGCAGGAGAATCGCTTGAACCTGGGAGGCAGAAGTTGCAGTGAGCCGAGATCGCGCCACTGCACTCCAGCCTGCGTGACAGAGCGAGACTCCGTCTAAAATAAATAAATAAATGAAAAAAATGCATGAAGGGGCCAGACCCGGTGGCTGAGGCAGGTGGATCACTTGAGGCCAAGAGTTCGAGACCAGCCTGGGCAACACAGCAAACCCCATCTCTACAGAAAATACAAAAATTCGTCAGGCATGGTGGTGTGTGTCTGTGGTCCCAGCTACTGGGGAGGTTGAGGCAGAAGGACTGCTTGAGGCTGAGAGGCAAAAAAAAAAAAAAAAAATAGCCAGTGGTTCATGCCTGTAATCCCAGCACTTTGAGAGGCTGACGCCAGCAGATCAGTTGAGGCCAGGAGTTCGAGACCAGCCTAGGCAGTGGTGGCCAGCACCTATAATCCCAGTTACCCGGGAACCTGAGGCAGGAGAATCGCTTGAACCTGGGAGGTGGAGGTTGCAGTGAGCCAACATCGCGCCACTGTACTCCAGCTTGGGCAATAAAGTGAGACTCTGTCTCAAACAAACAAACAAAAAGGCCGAGCGGGGTGGCTCACACCTGTAATCCCAGCACTTTGGGAGGCTGAGGCGGGCGGATCACGAGGTCAAGAGATGGAGACCATCCTGGTCAACATGGTGAAACCTTGTCTCTACTAAAAATACAAAAATTAGCCAGGCGTGGTGGCGGGCGCCTGTAGTCCCAGCTGCTCAGGAGGCTGAGGCAGGAGAATGGCTTGAATCCAGGAGGTGGAGATTGCAGTGAGTTGCGATCTCGCCACTGCACTCCAGTTTGGGTAACAGAGCAAGACTCCGTCTCAAAAAAATAAAACAAAACAAAACAAAACTGAGTAGTTCAACAGCTTAAGCCATGTTGGCTGAACATTAAGACTTTGTCAAATCCTAAGGAACAAAATAATATTAAAATTAGGAAGAATTATTTTGCCATAGGATAAAATAGAAATACTGCCATACATTTGACTTACTTGTTTAAAAACCAGACCTCACAAACCTGACCCAAGTTATGTGCAAAATAATGTGCCAGTTGCACAGCCCCTGGAGGCCAGTGTGAGCCCACATGCCTCTGCTGGTTTATTTCTAGAATCCACTCGCTGTGGGTCTTGATCGTGTTTCCAAAACAAGGAAGTCACCCATCTCTAGTTCAGGCCTTGTTACCAATGAAATTTTAAAATATGACATTGATACCATTTGACTGGACAATAACTAAAATTGGACAAAGAAGATATTTTCCTCTCATTGGAGGTTGCAGCATTTTATTCAGGTTTACAATTTATGATTCATCCAGCCGTGGTGGCTCAAGCCTATAATCCCAGCACTTTGAGAGGCTGAGGTGGGCAGATATCTCAAGGTCAGGAGTTCAAGACAAGCCTGGCTAACATGGTGACACCTTCTCTCGACTAAAATTACAAAAATTAGCTGGGTGCGGTGGCACAAGCCTGTAATCCCAGTTACTCGGGAGGCTGAGGCAGGAGAATGGCTTGAATCCGGGAGGCGGAGGTTGTGGTGAGCCAAGATGGTGCCACTGCACTCCAGCCTGAGCAACAGAGTGAGACTCCATCTAAAAAAAAAAAAAAAAATTGTGATTGTGTAAACTGTGACTCAGGGAACTGCAGAGAACAGAAGTTTGCAGGTCTACACGTGGAATCTGCAGTTCTGTTAGGAGAGACTGGCATTGCAAAAGAGCAGCAATTCCTGAGCATCTTCCCCAGCAGAGAGCCCATTCTGGGGGCAATGTTGACAATGACCCAGAGTCTCTGGGTTCTCCAGTGGGGGGCACAGCTGATGTTATCCCTCCTGTGCTGGCAGTTTTCTAAGTGAGTTCAGATCCTCTAGGAAGGAAGATCTGTGTGTGCAGCGCTGTGGAAGAGGTCTCTGTGGGCGCCAAGCCTCCCAAGGAGATTTACGGGCTCCAGGGACTGGAGGTTTGGACCCCATCTCCGTCTCTCCCAATCCATTAGAACATGCATTTCCAGCATCTGTGGGGTGCGCAGATGAGGGGACGCACCTCCAAGTTGTCCTCAGGAGATTCCCAATTGTTCGTGGATGTCGGATATTCGGTGTCCATGGGAGTGTCTGGGATTTTGGTGTCTTATGCGTCCAGCAGCGTTGGCACATCCAGGCTGAGGAAAGCGGGACCCCTGCCTCCACCTGCCTGCATGTGGGGTCTCCCTAGAAGGAAGCCTTTGGTAGGTGGGTGGGAAGATTAGGGTGCTTGAATGGGAACTGTGAGGAGGTGCAGTGGCACCAGGCTCTAGCAGCCTCCTGCCTCCAGGAGAGGCCCAGGTTGGGATCACTGCAGCGACCAACGCCTCGGATCACTCGAGGGCTAGAAGGCACCCACCAGGTGTGTGGACAGGAGCGCTCAGGGGCCTTGCACATTGGGCATATTATGGTGTCAGTTTCGGAATCAGCCTGCATGGAGTCGGACCAGGACACCCAGCCAGGATTCCGTCGTCGGGGAAGGGAACGCCCACGTGGCTTGTGTGAAGGGTGCTTCAGGGGACGCAAAGGCTCTGGTGGCTGGGAGGAGCTCAGGGATGACAGATACCCCAAGGATTCTGTGGAGCTGGTCGGGTTTGGTGATAGGGTGCTCGCAGGTGGCTGGTGTGAAGGGTGCTTCAGGGGACACAGAGGCTCTCGTGGCTTGGAGGAGCTCAGGGATGATGGAGACCCCAAGGACTCTACGGAGGTCTTCGGGACTGATGACGGCATGGAGGCCAGAGGAGCCAGGGGAGCCCGTGGGGACACATGGAAGCTGGTGGGAGAAGCTTTCCCACGCCCCCCACGTGGCCGGTGGTTCCTAGCAGGTGCTGGTTTGTACACTGGCCCTGGGCGGACTTGGCGTGGAAGGTGATGGGAGCTGCCCTCCCTAGAGAGCTTCTTCAGGCACCTGCAGGAGACAGGAGGCACAGGCTGCAGCCGGGAGCACTGGGCACCTGTGGACCTCCAGGGCCCCCCTGCTGACTTCACAAAGCTCTGCCTACCCCTGCCCAGGGCTTTAGTGACATCATGGCTGTGATCTCCCCTCCCAGATCAGCCCCAGGCCCTGGGGTGGCATCCTAGGCCCTGGTAGGAAGAAGGACATGGGAGGGAAGGGGAAGAGCCTCACTTTTTCGACAGGAAAGTGTAGATCTCAAGGTTCTCCAGTTCTTTCAAGAGAATTCTGTAATCTGGAAAGCAGGAGATGGGTTATGGTGGCGAGGGAGGGAACTGGGACTTACAGGAGGCCGATTGCGTGTGCCCTTAGGGGAGACCCCGGGATTGGGGATTAGACCCTGGAGCCCCAGCATCCCTGTCCAAGGCCACAGGGCCCCAGGAGTGATAGCCAGGTGCCCGGTGGGCAGCACTTTGTCCTCTCCAAAGTGCTTCCCGACACGCTCCATCATGGGGGTCACGACAACCTCCTGGGGAGAGAGGACAGAGGCAGTCTCAAAGAGGACTCAGCCATGTTAAACAGCTGCCCACATGGACCTGCATCCCCTCCTGCACGTCCAGGTGGTCACTGGTCCCCTCCTGGGCAACACCCGCTCCCTGGACCCCATGGCTTCAACTCAGCAGGGAATCGGAGATGGATCCCGGGTTCCAATTGCCCTACCAGGAGCTTCCCCATCAGGCCTCTGCAGATGACTTCCTAGGAGACTTGGTGCTTGTTCCTAGGGACAGGTGAAGCTGTCATCTCTGGGGCTTCTGGGACCCTCAGAGCCTTACCTTTCAAAGTGATATATTTATTTCCGATCCTGAGCCATTCCCCCACTTCAGCTTGATCCTGAGAGACAAGAAAGAGGGTGCAGGCCGGGTCTCAGTCTCCTGTCCCCACAGCTGCAGACCCAGTGCTCGTGAATGACACACTTTCTCCGCCCAGCTCATGGAGCCTGTGTGCTTCTCTTTCACTGGTTTCTAAAGTGCGTAATAACCTTTTTCTGGTTTCCTTCTCTGGAAAGCATGGAGGGGTTTTCTATGTGAGGCCTGCCCTGGGTATCCTCAGTCCCTGTTCCGCTGCTTGGGAAACGCACACTCTTGGGTCTGCAGGTGCCTCTGAGCTGGCAGGGAGGATTCTGCTTCCGAGGAGGCCAGGGGCGACTCCAGTCTCAGGTGGGAGGCTCTCAGGGGCTCAGCACAGCCCCCAGAGCACCTCACACAGAGGCTGGGCCCCGAGGCACCTGCCCAGGAAGGCGGCTGATGAGCCCGGGCTCAGGGCCTGTCCTTCCACAGAGACCTCACCCCTCTCATGACCGGGTCCTCGCCGCTGAGTCCTGGGGTTTGGTTTTGCTCTGACGCCTCCCGTGCACCTCCACAGATGGTCTGGGAGCTTGGGTTGGAAATCCTATGCCCACTCCAACCCCTGCCTGCCCTGCTGTCCCTAGAGGGATGATGAGAGTTCCCATCACAGGAGCGCCTCTGGCTGATGTGGAAAAGTGGAAAAGAGAGCAGGAAAAATAGAAGCATTCTCTGCTGGGTGTGGGCTGAGGGCTCCTTACATTCTCGCTGTCCTCCTCTCTGGGAGGCACTGAGGACGGCTCCCTGGGAATGTAGAGGCGTAAGATAATCAGGATCACCAGGCTGAACACAACAAAGAGGACGAAATGGATGATCTGGGGAATGGGGCTGGGGCACAGCTCTGTACCAATAACACTGTCCAGAGGAAAGAGAATATCCATGTCAACTGCACTGCTGTCCTCAGGCAACTGAGCCCTGGGCATCCCCTCTGGGACAAGTTATTGGGGCCCAGGTCCACATCACAGAGCTGGGGCCTCCCCCTCACAAAGGGCTCCTAAGGGTGGGGTGGGCAGTGGGAGGAGGAGGCTAAAGCCCAGCCCCGCCCACCACCACCCACCCCTGCAGTTCCCTCCACCCTCCTGGCCTTCCGGATCCCTCCTTCCCACTCCACCTGCTCAACCTGTCAGAAACAGACCTGGTCCGTTTTCCGTCCTCTTGCCCTGGCACACAGATGGTACCTGGTTCATTGGAGATCTCTGCTCAGACTCCCTCAGTTTCACAGTTTTTGAGGATCTGGATTTGTCCCTGAAATTCCTGTTATTTCCAGGGATTATTGCTCCAGGGTCTCCTCTGCCTGCTCACTGCAACCTCCGCCTCTTGGGTTCAAGCAATTCTTTGCCTCAGCCTCCTGAGTAGCTGGGATTACAGGTGCCTGCCACGACGCCTGGCTTATTTTTTTAATTTTTAGTAGAGACAGGGTTTCACTATCTTGGCCAGGCTGATCTCAAACTCCTGACCTCGTGATCGGCCCGTCTCGGCCTCCCAAAGTGCTGGGATTACAGGCGTGAACCACCGCACACAGCCTCAAAAAAGTTTTTTTAGGGCTTTGGCTAAGTACATGAAGATAAGTGATGCCCAATTCAGGTTTTGCCAAATAACACAACTCTTTTCAGAAACTACAAATTCCACTGGCTCTGGCAGAATGAATATCAACCTAGGTCAATTCTCCATAACAAGAACCCATAAATTTGCCGGCCGGGCGCGGTGGCTCACGAGGTCAGGAGATCAAGACCATCCTAGCTAACACGGTGAAACCCCCTCTCTACTAAAAATACAAAAAATTAGCGTGGTGGCGGGTGCCTGAAGTCGGAGCTACTCGGGAGGCTGAGGCAGGAGAATGGCATGAACCCGGGAGGCAGAGGTTGCAGTGAGCTGAGATCACGCCACCGCACTCCAGCCTGGGCGACAGAGTGAGACTCCATCTTGAAAAAAAAAACAGAACCCACAAATTTGCCAGCCCACTTCACGTCTCGACTATTAGATAACAGCAGGCAAGATGCATGTTCCTGATGGGCACCAGTTGCTTACATGGTGATTCTTGCAAGATGCATGTTCCTGATGGGCACCAGTTGCTTACATGGGGATTCTTGCAAGATGCATGTTCCTGATGGGCACCAGTTGCTTACATGGGGATTCTTGCAAGATGCATGTTCCTGATGGGCACCAGTTGCTTACATGGTGATTCTTGCAAGATGCATGTTCCTGATGGGCACCAGTTGCTTACATGGTGATTCTTGCAAGATGCATGTTCCTGATGGGCACCAGTTGCTTACATGGTGATTCTTGCAAGATGCATGTTCCTGATGGGCACCAGTTGCTTACATGGTGATTCTTGCAAGATGCATGTTCCTGATGGGCACCAGTTGCTTACATGGTGATTCTTGCAAGATGCATGTTCCTGATGGGCACCAGTTGCTTACATGGTGATTCTTGCAAGATGCATGTTCCTGATGGGCACCAGTTGCTTACATGGTGATTCTTGCAAGATGCATGTTCCTGATGGGCACCAGTTGCTTACATGGTGATTCTTGCAAGATGCATGTTCCTGATGGGCACCAGTTGCTTACATGGTGATTCTTGCAAGATGCATGTTCCTGATGGGCACCAGTTGCTTACATGGTGATTCTTGCAAGATGCATGTTCCTGATGGGCACCAGTTGCTTACATGGTGATTCTTCTTTGAGTTATTGGTGTTTTCTCCCTTTCTTCCCTCCCTCCCTCCGTCCCTTTCCTCCTCTCCCCTCCACCTAATAGAGGGTCCACGTCTCCACAGGGTCACCTCTGTCTCCAGCATTAGAAAAGGAAGTCAGAGCTGGTCACGGTGACTCACACCTGTAATCCCAGCACTTCGGGAGGCTAAGGTGGGAGGATCACGAGGTCAGGAGATTGAGACCATCCTGGCTAACACAGTGAAACCCCGTCTCTACTAAAAATACAAAAAATTAGCCGGGTGTGGTGGCGGGCGCCTGTAGTCCCAGCTACTCGGGAGGCTGAGGTGGGAGAATGGGGTGAATCCGGGAGGCGGAGCTTACAGTGAGCCGAGATCACACCACTGCACTCCAGCCTGGGCGACAGAGCAAGACTCCGTCTCAAAATAAATAAATAAATAAATAAATAAAAAATAAAAGGAAGTCAGAAAGCTAAGCAAGGCCTGGATCAGGAGACCTATTTATTCTAATGATGAGAAAGCACCGCAGGGCTCTGGGAAGGGAAGTGGCATGGTCTGATTTACCTATTTTAAAAAATCCATGTAAAGATTATGTGGGGGAGTGGGGGCAAGAGTAGAAGCAGAGATGCCCTGTAGGAAGCAGGTACAAGAATCCAGACAGGAAGGTTGCGGGTTGCTTGGACTAGGGTGGAAATACTGCAGACAGGTTCGGGGTCTATTTTGAAGATAAAGCCAGCTGGTCTTGCTCATGTGGGCACTGAGAGAACCTGGGGCCAGGGAACTAGGTAAATTGCGGGGTGGGTGGGGAAGGGAGGGAAGGATGCTACTTTGACTGAGATGGAAAACACTGGGGGAGCAGTTGGGTTTGAGTTGTGTGGGGGCTTCAGAAATCTTTTGACCTTAAACGTAAGATGGTGTCAGACATACCAGTGGCACTAGAAGCTGTGGAAGCACAGGAACAATCTAGAAATTGGCCGAGAGCTTTGGCTGGATATTTTAAATGTGGGAATCATCAGTTTATAGGTGTCACTGGTGTAAAACCATGGACCAAGGGCCGGGCGTGGTGGCTCAGGCCTGTAATCCCAGCACTTTGGGAGGCTAAGGCGGGCAGATCACTTGAAGTCAGGAGTTTGAGACCAGCCTGGCCAACGTGGTGAAACCCTGTCTCTTCTAAAAATGCAAAAGTTAGCCGAGTGTGGTGGCACACATCTATAGTCCCAGCTACTCAGGAGGCTGAGGCAGGAGAATCACTTGAACCCGGGAGGCGGAGGTTGCAGGGCACCGAGATCATACCCTACATGATCCCAGCACTTTGGGAGGCCGAGGCGGCTGGATCACGAGGTCAGGAGATCGAGACCATCCTGGCTAACACGGTGAAACCCCACCTCTACTAAAAATACAAAAAATTAGCCGGGCATGGTGGCGGGTGCCTGTAGTCCCAGCGCCTGGGCAACAGAGACTCCATCTCAAAAAAAAAAAAAGTGACTAGAAACTCAAAAAGTGTGGAGAGCGGGAGCAGGGGAAGGGCTGAAAAACTGCCTGTTGGGCACTGTCTTCACTATCTGAGTGACAGGTTCACTAGAAGCCCAAACCTCAGCACCACACGGTTTATCCATGTAACAAACCTGCGCATGCACCCACTGAATCTCAAATGTTTTAAAAAGCGATAAGCCATGTTAATAGCAGGTACCCTTGGTGTGATGTGATGTGATGAGAATGACATTTCCCCCACGGGCTTCCTCCCCATGACACAGGGGCCACCCCAGCCATGTTTACAGCCCTGGCCCCAGACAGTATTGAGCCCCTGAGCCCCCACCACTTGTGTGTACAGCTCCGGTTCCCCTGCCCCACCTCATCCAGCCGGCTCTACCTTATTTTGACGTCATAGCTGAGCACGTGCTGGGAGATGGCCGTGGTACAGCCTGTAAGTAGGGCTGTAAATAGTCACAATGGGCCTGTAAATAGTCCAGCCCCATTACCACGTTCTGGTCCAGACAGCGGGCTGCAGGTGAGTTGTTTCTAGAACCAGAGCTTATATGAAGAGAAAAATAGAAGGGACAGAACAGTGTGTTCCCAGATCACACCTGCAGCTCCTACAGGCTGGGGTGGGGGTCTGGGGCCCGGCTCTGCTGGCTCAGTCATTTTGCTTCTCCTCAAGTTCCCTCTGTGGAACTGGGCGCCGTTTCCACCAAACCGTCTGCTCTCCAGTCCCACAGGGGCTGCTGTCAGTCACCCTACGGCCTCTCTGCCTAGGCTTTGAAACTGATTCATTGTTCTTTTGCTGTATTTTTCTTTGTAGGTTTCAGAATTCTCTGTTTATTTATGATAATTTGGGAAGGATCCTGGGAGAGTGAAAATAAATGAAGTGCGCAATCTGCCAAGTTTCACTGGAGGCTCCACTGATCCTTCCACCATGCTCAAATGCCTGCAGGAAATCTGGGGAATCATCTTTCCTACCCTAAGACCCTGGGACTGAGCACTGGCCCTGAGGCCCCTGACAGGCATAAACTAATCAGCAAATGTGCAGGAAAAATGCGGAGCTGCAAGACCAAAGTCAGATTCCCACTCTCCCTAAAGGCCTGGATTCCCCTGGAAACCCACATCCCCACTTCCTGGAAGGAGCTATGAGGACCCAGGGGAGTGGCTCTGGGCATCAACTGGTCCAGGCAGGAGGTGGTTCCCCATGTCCCATCTTTCCAGCGCCCAAGGGAGCCTCTCAGGGGAGTCTCATCACCCCCCGCCCCACCATCACAGAGCAGCCTGCTCCTGGCCTGTATCCAAACACCCCTGGGGGCGGCTGCCCTGGGCGTGCTCCCCTTTCCCTGATGGCCGCTAGAACTCCGTGAGGAGAGGCTCGCCAGGGTCACCCAGACAGTCCCTGATCCCACATTGTCCCGACACATGAGGCTTCACCCCGGAGGAAATAGGAAAAGGGAGTGAATCCTGTGGGCTCCCCTCACAAAAGGAAAGCTACGTGCTGTCACTTGGGCGCAAGGCGGGCTATGAGGCTGGAGAAAAGCTCCCAGGGACGACGCCTCCGGGAGCTTTTTTCTTTTTCTTTTTTTTTTTTTTTTTAATTGATCATTCTTGGGTGTTTCTGGCAGAGGGGGATTTGGCAGGGTCATAGGACAATAGTGGAGGGAAGGTCAGCAGATAAACATGTGAACAAGCGTCTCTGGTTTTCCTAGGCAGAGGACCCTGCGGCCTTCCGCAGTGTTTGTGTCCCTGGGTACTTGAGATTAGGGAGTGGTGATGACTCTTAAGGAGCATGCTGCCTTCAAGCATCTGTTTAACAAAGCACATCTTGCACCGCCCTTAATCCATTTAACCCTGAGTGGACACAGCACATGTTTCAGAGAGCACGGGGTTGGGGGTAAGGTCATAGATCAACAGGATCCCAAGGCAGAAGAATTTTTCTTAGTACAGAACAAAATGAAGTCTCCCATGTCTACTTCTTTCCACACAGACACAGCAACAATCCGATCGCTCTATCTTTTCCCCACCTTTCCCCCCTTTCTATTCCACAAAACCGCCATCGTCATCATGGCCCGTTCTCAATGAGCTGTTGGGTACACCTCCCAGATGGGGTGGTGGCCGGGCAGAGGGGCTCCTCACCTCCCAGACGGGGCTGCCGGGCAGAGGCGCCCCCCACCTCCCTCCTGGACGGGGCGGCTGCCGGGCGGAGGCTGACCCCCCACCTCCCTCCCGGACGGGGTGGCTGCCGGGCGGAGGGGCTCCTCACTTCCCAGACGATAGGCGGCCAGGCAGAGACGCTCCTCACTTCCCAGACGGGGTGGCGGCCGGGCAGAGGCTGCAATCTCGGCACTTTGGGAGGCCAAGGCAGGCGGCTGGGAGGTGGAGGTTGTAGCTAGCCGAGATCACGCCACTGCACTCCAGCCTGGGCAAGATTGAGCACTGAGTGAGCGAGACTCCGTCTGCAATCCCGGCACCTCGGGAGGCCCTCTTTTTTTTTTTTGAGATGGAGTCGCTCTGTTGCCCAGGCTGGAGTGCAGTGGCGCAATCTCAGCTCACTGCAACCTCCACCTCCCGGGTTCAAGCAATTCTCCTGCATCAGCCTCTGGAGTAGCTGGGAATATAAGTGCCCGCCACCACGCCCGGCTAATTTTTTGTATTTTTAGTAGAGATGGGGTTTCACAATGTTGGCCAGGCTGCCTTTAAATTCCTGACCTCAGATGATCCGCCTGCCCTGGCCTCCCAAAGTGCTGGAATTACAGGCATAAGCCACCACATCTGGCCGCCTCCTGAAGTCTTTGCTGCACAGGGCTCCATCCTTTTGTGGGGCCAGGAGGGTGGGATTCTGCCCTCATCTGCTGGCCAGTGCTCCCACCTCATTTTACCAGGGGACAGCCCGGCCAGGAGAGGTTGGCGTGGGATGCACCCACCACTCGGGGGCCTGTGGGAGGTAGTCACCCCCTCCTGGCCAGACTGAGCGTCTTTGCTTTGCAGTCCACTTATTCAAGTGTTAATCCCTCCCTCACCACCATAACCCATCTCCTGCTTTCCAGCTTGCAGAAGTCTCTTGAAAGAACTAGAGAACACTAAGGACCACACTCTCCTGCTGGAAAAGTGAGGCTCTTTCCTCTTCCCTCCCGTGTCCTCCTTCCTACCAGGACCTAGGATGCCACCCCAGGGCCTAGGGCTGATCTGGGAGGGGAGATCACAGCCGTGATGTCACTAAAGCCCTGGGCAGGGGTAGGCAGAGCTTTGTGAAGTCAGCAGGGGGGCCCTGGAGGTCCACAGGTGCCCAGTGCTCCCGGCTGCAGCCTGTGCCTCCTGTCTCCTGCAGGCGCCTGAAGAAGCTCTCTAGGGAGGGCAGCTCCCATCACCTTCCACGCCAAGTCCGCCCAGGGCCAGTGTACAAACCAGCACCTGCTAGGAACCACCGGCCACGTGGGGGGCGTGGGAAAGCTTCTCCCACCAGCTTCCATGTGTCCCCACGGGCTCCCCTGGCTCCTCTGGCCTCCATGCCGTCATCAGTCCCGAAGACCTCCATAGAGTCCCTTGGGTCTCCATCATCCCTGAGCTCCTCCCAGGCATCAGAGCCTCTGTGTCCCCTGAAGCACCCTTCACACCGGCCACCTGCGAGCACCCTATCACCAAACCTGACCAGCTCCACAGAATCCTTGGGGTATCTGTCATCCCTCAGCTCCTCTCAGCCACCAGAGCCTTTGCGTCCCCTGGAATGTCCTTCACACAAGCCATGTGGGCGTTCCCTTCCCCGACGACGGAATCCTGGCTGGGTGTCCTGGTCCGACTCCATGCAGGCTGATTCCGAAACTGACGCCATAATATGCCCAATGTGCAAGGCCCCTGAGCGCTCCTGTCCACACACCTGGTGGGTGCCTTCTAGCCCTCGAGTGATCCGAGGCGTTGGTCGCTGCAGTGATCCCAACCTGGGCCTCTCCTGGAGGCAGGAGGCTGCTAGAGCCTGGTGCCACTGCACCTCCTCACAGTACCCATTCAAGCACCCTAATCTTCCCACCCACCTACCAAAGGCTTCTTTCTAGGGAGACCCCACATGCAGGCAGGCGGAGGCAGGGGTCCCGCTTTCCTCAGCCTGGATGTGCCAACGCTGCTGGACGCACAAGACACCAAAATCCCAGACACTCCCATGGACACCGAATATCCGACATCCACGAACAATTGGGAATCTCCTGAGGACAACTTGGAGGCGCGTCCCCTCATCTGGGCACCCCACAGATGCTGGAAATGCGTGTTCTAATGGATTGGGAGAGAAGGAGATGGGGTCCAAACCTCCAGTCCCTGGAGCCCGTAAATCTCCTTGGGAGGCTTGGCGCCCACAGAGACCTCTTCCACAGCGCTGCACACACAGATCTTCCTTCCTAGAGGATCTGAACTCACTTAGAAAACTGCCAGCACAGGAGGGATAACATCAGCTGTGCACCCCACTGGAGAACCCAGAGACTCTGGGTCATTGTCAACATTGCCCCCAGAATGGGCTCTCTGCTGGGGAAGATGCTCAGGAATTGCTGCTCTTTTGCAATGCCAGTCTCTCCTAACAGAACTGCAGATTCCACGTGTAGACCTGCAAACTTCTGTTCTCTGCAGTTCCCTGAGTCACAGTTTACACAATCACAATTTTTTTTTTTTTTTTTAGATGGAGTCTCACTCTGTTGCTCAGGCTGGAGTGCAGTGGCACCATCTTGGCTCACCACAACCTCCGCCTCCCGGATTCAAGCCATTCTCCTGCCTCAGCCTCCCGAGTAACTGGGATTACAGGCTTGTGCCACCGCACCCAGCTAATTTTTGTAATTTTAGTCGAGAGAAGGTGTCACCATGTTGGCCAGGCTTGTCTTGAACTCCTGACCTTGAGATATCTGCCCACCTCAGCCTCTCAAAGTGCTGGGATTATAGGCTTGAGCCACCACGGCTGGATGAATCACAAATTGTAAACCTGAATAAAATGCTGCAACCTCCAATGAGAGGAAAATATCTTCTTTGTTCAATTTTAGTTATTGTCTAGTCAAATGGTATCAATGTCATAGTTTAAAATTTCATTGGCAACAAGGCCTGAAATAGAGATGGGTGACTTCCCTATTTTGGAAACATGATCAAGACCCACAGCGAGTGGACTCTAGAAATAAACCAGCAGAGGCATGTGGGCTCACACTGGCCTCCAGGGGCTGTGCAACTGGCACATTATTTTGCACATAACTTGGGTCAGGTTTGTGAGGTCTGGTTTTTAAATGAAGCAACAACCATATAAAGATTTTCAAACAAATGAGTCAAATGTATGGCAGTATTTCTATTTTATCCTATGGCAAAATAATTCTTCCTAATTTTAATATTATTTTGTTCCTTAGGATTTGACAGTCTTAATGTTCAGCCAACATGGCTTAAGCTGATAAACTACTTAGAAGGATTCTTTTTTTTTGAGATGGGCTCTTGCTCTGTCACCCAAACTGGAGTGCAGTGGCGCGATCTCGACTCACTGCAACCTCCGCCTCCCGGGTTCAAGTGATTCTTCTGCCTCAGTCTCCCAAGTAACTGGGACTACAGGTGTGTGCCACCACGCCCGACTAATTTTTGTATTTTTAGTAGAGACAAGGTTTCACCATGTTGACCAGGATAGTCTCAATCTCTTGACCTCGTGATCTGCCTGCATCCGCCTCCCAAAGTGCTGGGTTTACAGGTGTGAGCCACCACACCTGGTGTTTTTGTTTTTTTTTTTTGTTTTTTTTGAGACGGCGGAGTCTCACTCTGTTGCCCAGGCTGGAGTGCAGTGGTGTGATCTCGGCTCACTGCAAGCTCCGCCTCCTGGGTTCACGCCATTCTCCTGCCTCAGCCTCCCGAGTAGCTGGGACTATAGGCGCCCGCCACCACGTCCTGCTAATTTTTTTTTTTTTTTAGTAGTGATGGGGTTTCATCATGTTAGCCAGGATGGTCTCGATCTCCTGACCTCGTGATCCGCCCGCCTCGGCCTCTCAAAGTGTTGGGATAACAGGCGTTGAGCCACCCCGCCCAGCCTTTTCATTTGTTTGTTTGTTTGTCTGAGACAGTCTCACTTTATTGCCCAAGCTGGAGTACAGTGGCGCGATCTTGGCTCACTGCAACCTCCACCTCCCAGGTTCAAGTGATTCTCCTGCCTCAGGTTCCCGGGTAACTGGGATTACAGGCGCTCGCCACCACTGCCTAGGCTGGTCCCGAACTCCTGGCCTCAAGTGATCTGCTGGCCTTGGCCTCCCAAAGTGCTGGGATTACAGGCATGAACCACCAGCTATTTTTTTTTTTTTTTTTTTTTTTTTTTTTGCCTCTCAGGCTCAAGCAGTCCTTCTGCCTCAACCTCCCCAGTAGCTGGGACCACAGACACACACCACCATGCCTGACGAATTTTTGTATTTTCTGTAGAGATGGGGTTTGCTGTGTTGCCCAGGCTGGTCTTGAACTATTGGCCTCAAGTGATCCACCTGTCTCAGCCACCGGGTCCGGCCCCTTCATGCTTTTTTGTTCGTTTATTTATTTATTCATTCATTTTAGACGGAGTCTCCCTCTGTCACGCAGGCTGCAGTGCAATGGCGCGATCTCGGCTCACTGCAACTTCTGCCTCCCGGGTTCAAGCGATTCTCCTGCCTCAGCCTCCTGAGTAGCTGGGATTACAGGCGCACTCCACCATGCCCAGCTAATTTCTGCATTTTTAGTAAAGACGGAGTTTCACAATGTTGGTCAGGCTAGTCCCAAACTCCTGACCTCGTGATCCACCCACCTCAGACTCCCAAAGTGCTGGGATTACAGGCATGCGTCACTGCACCAGGCCCCCTTCATGCATTTTTGAATTGAGTTGTTCCATTAGTTGTTGGCAAATATTTTCCCTCATTCTGTGGGTGGCTCCTTACTTTTTTTTTTCTTTTTTCCTTTTTTTTTTTTTGTCTTTTGAGATGGAGTCTTGCTCCGTGTGTTCCCCAGGCTGGAGTGCAGTGGCAGGATCTGTGCTCACTGCAAGCTCCGCCTCCCGGGTTGACGCCATTCTCCCAACTCAGCCTCTCGAGTAGCTGGGACTACAGACGCCCGCCACCACGCCTGGCTAATTTTTTTTTGGATTTTTAGTAGAGACGGGGTTTCACCGTGTTAGCCAGGATGGTCTCGATCTCCTGAACTCGTGATGCGCCTGCCTCGGCCTCCCAAAGTGCTGGGATTACAGGCGTGAGCCACTGCGCCCGGCCACTTGTGTTTCTTTTCAAGAATGGACCCCATGGCAGACATCCATGAGTTTTCATGGTCAGAAATTGGTCTCATGCACACCCCAGCCAACCGAGGTGAGAGAAATGGCATTACAGTGATTGGCTTAGACACGTCAGGATATGTCCCTGAACCAGGACAAGAGGCACCTTCTCCAAGGGTGGATCCCAAAGAAAGTCAGAGGTCTTGGCAAAGAATGGGGAAAAGGGATTATGTAGGCAACCCAGTGTCTGCTACAGAATGAGCAGCGGAGAAGAAAGCAACCTGAAAGGCTGAGTAATTACAAAAAAAGACTAAATTAAATCCATACAAGAGCAAGTTTGCTCTGTTTCCACCTTCACTAGGAATGAGGGCTCAGAGCAGGGCATGCTGGGAAGTAGAAAATAAAGTTACCATTTTTCTGTTTCAGCCATAGCGTGTACATATTACCCTACTCTAGCCCACCCCCTTCTCTCACACACAGTAGTTGTTAAAATAAAAACTTGGCCAGGCGGGATGGTTCACCCCTGTAATCCCAGCACTTTGGGAGGCCTAGGTGGGCGGATCACGAGGTCAAGAGTTCGAGACCAGCCTGACCAACATGGTGAAACCCCATCTCTATTAAAAATACAAAAATTAGCTGAGTATGGTGGCACGCGCCTGTAATCCCAGCTACTCAAGAGGCTGAGGCAGAAGAATAGCTTGAACGCGTGAGGTGGAGTTTACAGTAAGCTGAGACTGTGCCATTGTACTCCAGCCTGGGCGACAAAGCGAGACTCCGTCTCTAAAATAAAATGAAATCAAATCAAATCTTGGGCTGGGAGGCCAAGATTATCTGTCCCGAAATTTGACAGATTATAATTATTTTTTAGAAGTGGAATCTTGCTGTGTCACGCAGGCTGGAGTCCAGTGGCACAATCACAGTTCACTGGAGCCTCCAACTCCTGGGCCCAAGCTATCCTCCCATCTCAACTTCCCAGCTGGCTGGGACCACAGGCAGGTGCCACCACACCCAAGTAATTATTTTTTAAGTATTTTTTAATTTTTTGTAGAGACGAAGACTCGTTTTGTTTTCTGGGTTTCTTTTTTTTTCTTCTTCTTCTTTTTTTGACAAGAGTTTCACTCTGTCGCCAGGCTGGAGTCAGTGGCACGATTTCGGCTCACTGCAACCTCCACCTCCCGGGTTCAGGCAATTCTCCTGCCTCAGCCTCCCAAGTAGCTGGGACTATAGGCGGGCGCCATCACACTAATTTTTGTATTTTTAGTAAAGACGGGGTTTCCCCATGTCGGCCAGGATGGTCTCGATCTCTTGACCACATGATCCACCCACCTGGGCCTCCCAGAGTGCTGGGATTACAGGCGTGAGCCACGGCGCCTGGCCCCCTGGGCTGGTCTTGAGGTCCTGGGCTCAAGTAAGCCTACCTCTGAGCCTTCCAAATTGTTGGGCTTATAGGCGTGAGCCACTGCACGGTCTCAAATAATTATTTTAGGGTTGAGTTTTTACTGAATCTGGTGAGTTTGACTAATGTAAGACTTCCCTTTGGCCCTGGGCAAGTATAAAAGATAAATTGAGGCCGGGCGCGGTGGCTCATGCCTGCAATCCCAGCAGTTTGGGAGGCTGAGGTGGGCGGTTCACCTGAGGTCAGGAGTTCGAGACCAGCCTGATCAACATGGAGAACCCCTGTCTCTACTAAAAATACAAAATTAGCCGGGCATGTGGTACATGCCTGTAATCCCAGCTACTCGGGAGGCTGAGGCAGGAGAATCGCTTGAACCCAGGAGGAAGAGGTTGCTGTGAGCCGAAAGTGCGCCATTGCACTCCAGCCTGGGCAACAAAAGAGAAACTCTGTCTCAAAAAAAAAAATTTTTTTTTTAATTAAAATTAAAAAAAAAAAAAGAAAGATAAAGCGAAGTCCATGTGTCAGGAGCAAGCACAGGACAAAGTCACACAGAGCGGTGTGAGAGGGAGGCTGGGAGGGCAGCCACAGCTGTGCGGGGTGGTCTGGAGAGGACATGGGGCAGCCACAGCTGTGCGGGGTGGTCTGGAGAGGACATGGGGCAGCCACAGCTGGGAGCGGGGGCAGGGGCTGGGGAGGAGAGGAGGAATGTGCAAGCTCAGCTGTGCAAGCTGGGGTCAATGGCTACATCAGAACCAGACCCCATTGCTGGTAGCTTCACCGTCTCGCTCTCATGGGGCCTCCCAGCTATCCCAAATCTCCAAGAAACAGACTCAGAGACCTGCGGTCAGAGGTCCAGCGAGGGGGAGAGCGGAAGTGAGCTCCAGGCCACGTACAACGGCAGTCCCGGTTCCCCGCCATGAGCACGACCTGTGTGAGAGCACAGGGTATCTGGGCAGAAGGAAAACTAGGGGAGCCTCATCCAGCGCTGGAGATGGAGAAGCTTTGGGCTTCTCGACGGCGAGGCACCCGGGGAACGGGGAGTCACTTAGAACCTCAAAGTAGCCTCGGGCGAGAACAAGCGAAGCAATTCCAAGCTCTACCAGGTCACGGAGGGCGCGAAACCCGCCCCGCGCTCCGGCCGGCCGGCAGGGGGCGCGCGCTCCCCGAACTCCCGCGCACCGCGGAGGAGGCGGCCCTGGCGCGGGGAAGCAGTGGGAAAATCGCAAGGAAGCCGGGTAAGGACCTTTCATTTTCAGCCCTGCTCTTTAAATACTAGACATACCGTCTGGCGCATGTCGAGGCGTGTATTATTTTGATCCAGTGCGCGTGCCGTATGTGACTTGGCTTGGCTTCCCCTGAAAGCAGCGGCTGTGGGGAGTTGATTCGGAAGTGAAGGGCCCTGGGCGACCCGGCGAGTAGAGGCAACACCAACACTCCTCCTTAGCGAGGGGTCTCCCCGCCGCGGTGGCTGCCCGGCCCCAAGGACAGGAGGGATTTGTGCACTGACTCCTGACCCCGTCCTCCAGCGCTGCTCTGAAGGGAGAGTCTGTGCAGTGGCACCTGCGCGAAGCTGGCCAAAGCCTGCCCAGACGGCTCACCTGTGCGGGATGGAACAAAAGGTGAGCCCAGGGGGCCTGATAAAATGACCTCAGTAGCCGCCTGTGGGAGGGGACCCTGAGGAAAGCACCACAGTGACTACCAAGCGCCTTATGTCAGGGCTATTTATGACAGAGGGAAATCGGTGCGTGTTTGAGATACATTCCGTGAAGTGGAATTGCCTGATCAGAGGGTGAAGGCACACGCAGTTTTGCTCCCCGTAGGAATTGCTCCATCGTGCATTTTCTTCAGCATTTATGTGAGTGCCCTCCCCCAGCCTTGCTGGCAGTGGATGTTGCAAACTCTTGGGTTTTTGCTAATCCGTCAAGAGAGCAGAGATCTCCTTTTTTTTTTTTTTTTTTTTTTTTTTTGAGGCGGATTCTCATCTCCCAGGCTGAAGTGCGGTGCTCACTGCAACCTCTGCCTCCCGGGTTCAAGCGATTCTCCTGTCTCAGCCTCCCAAGAAGCTGGGTATTACAGGCATGCACCACCACAACTGGCCAATTTTTGTATTTTTAGTAGAGACGGGATTTCACCATGTTGGCCAGGCTGGTCTTGAACTCCTGACCTTGTGATCCACCTGCCTCGGCCTCCCAAAGTGCTGGGATTACAGACATGAGCCATCGCCCCCGGCCTCTTTGTTTGTTTTTGAGACAGGGTCTTGCTCTGTCGCCCAGGCAGGAGTGCAGTGGCGCAATCTCGGCTCACTGCAACCTCTGCCTCCCGGGTTCAAGTGATTCTCCTGCCTCAGCCTCCCGAGTAGTTGGGACTACAGGTCCACGCCCAGATAATTTTTTGTATTTTTAGTAGAGACAGGGTTTCACCATGTTGGCCAGGATAGCCTCGATCTCTTGACCTCGTGATCCACCGGCCTCGGCCTCCCAAAGTGCTGGGATTACGGGCATGAGCCACCGTGCCTGGCCTTAATTTTTGTATTTTTAGTAGAGATGGGGTTTCACCATGTTGGCCAGGATGGCTCTTAGTTTATTTTTAATTTTTATTTTACATTTCTGTGATTAGGAGGAAGATTGAGCACCCTACCTTATACTCAAGGCTTTTCATTGCGGTTTTTTTTTTTTTTTTTTTTTTGGCCAGGGTTTCACTCTTGTTGCCCAGGCTGGAGAGCAATGGCGCCATCTCGGCTCACCACAACCTCAGCCTCCCCAGCTCAAGCGATTCTCATGCCTCAGGCTCCCGAGTAGCTGGGATTACAGGCATGCGCCACCATGCCTGGCTAATGTATTTTTAGTAGAGATGGGGTTTCTTCATGTTGGTGAGGCTGGTCTCGAACTCGCGACCTCAGGTGATCTGACTTCAGGTGATCTGCCGGCCTCGGCCCCCCAAAGTGAGCCACCATGCAAGCCACCGCACCCAGCCTCATTGCAGTATTAATTGTATTAACGAAAGACAGGAAACACAAAACCACAGTGGGGTACCACCTCACACCCATCAGGATGGCTAGTATTAAAGCCACAGAAAATAACAAGTGTTGGCTGGGCGCGGTGGTTCACGCCTGTAATCCCAGCACTTTGGGTGGCCAAGGCGGGCAGATCACCTGAGGTCAGGAATTCAAGACCAGCCTGGCTAACATGGTGAAACCCCCCACCGTCTCTACTAAAAAAAATACAAAAATTAGCTAGGTGTGGTGGCGGGCACCTGTAATCCCCACTACTCAGGAGGCTGAAGCAGGTGAATCACTTGAACCCGGGAGGCAGAGGTTGCAGTGAGCCAAGATCGTGCCATTCCACTCCAGCCTCGGTGACAAGAGCGAAACTCTGTCTCAAAAAAATAAAAAAAGAAAAAGAAAATAAGTGTTGTAAGGATGTGGAGAAACTGGAACCCTTGTGCACTGTTGGTGGGAATGGAAAAAGATACAGCTGCTGTGGAAAATGGTATGGAGGCTCCTCAAAATATTTAACACAGAACTATATGTAGTAATTCTGCTTCTGTGTATATACCCAAAAGAACTCAAAGCAGTTCTTCATTTATTTATGTATCTTTTTTTTTTTTTTTGAGACAGGGTCTCACTCTGTCACCTAGACTGGAGTGCGGTAGTACGATCATGGCTCACTGCAGCCTCGAACTCCTGGACTCAAGCCATCCTCCTGCCTCAGCCTCCCCAGTAGCTAGGACTATAGACATATACCACTGCATCTGGCTAATTATTTTATTTATTTATTTATTTATTTATTTAGAGACAGAAGCTCGCTCTGTTGCCCAGGTTGGAGTGCAGTGATGCAATCTCGGCTCACTGCAAGCTCCGCTTCCCGGGTTCCAGGGATCCTCCTGCCTCAGCCTCCCTAGTAGCTGGAACTACAGGCACCCACCACCACTCCCACTTGGCTAAGTTTTTGTGTTTTTAGTAGAGACGGAGTTTTACCATGTTAGCCAGGATGGTCTCGGTCTCCTGACCTCGTGATCTGCCCGCCTTGGACTCCCAAAGTGCTGGGATTACAGGCGTGAACCACTGCGCCCAGCCATTTTTTTTTTTTTTTTTTGAGAAGAAGTCTTGCTCTGTAGCGCAGGGCTGGAGTGCAGTGGTGCGATCTCAGCTTACCGCAGCCTCCACTTTCTCGGGTTCAAGTGATTCTTCTGCCTCAGCCTCCTAAGTAGCTGGGACTACAGGTGCACGCCACTGCACATGGCTAATTTTTTACATTTTTAGTGGAGACAGGGTTTCACAATGTTGGCCAGACTGGTCTTGAACTCCCAACCTCAGTAATCTGCCTGCCTCAGCCTCCCAAAATGCTAGGATTACAGGTGTGAACCACTGCGCCCATGCATCTGGCTAAATTTAATTTTTTTTTTTTTTAATAGAGACAGAGTCTCAATTTGTTGCCCAGGCTGGTCTCAAATTCCTGGGTTCAAATGATTCTCCTGCCTCAGGCTCTCAAAGTGCTGCGATTACAGGCATGACGCAGCTTTATTTATAATAGCCAAACCTGGGAACAACATAAATAATTTCCATCAACGGGTGAATGAATAAACAAATTGTAGTATTTATTAATTTATTATTATCTGAGACGGAGTCTTCCTCTGTTGCTCAGGCTGGAGCGCAGTGGCACGATCTTGGCTCACTGCAACCTCCGCCTCCTGGGTTCAAGCAACTCATGCCCCAGCCTCCAAAGTAGTGTGTGCCATCACACCTGTCTAATTTTTGTATTTTTACTAGAGATGGGTTTTCACCAAGTTGCCCAGGCTGGTCTCAAACTCCTGGCCTCACGTGATCCACTGGCCTTGGCCTCCCAAAGTGCTGGGGTTACAGGCGTGAGCCACTGTGCCCAGCCTTTTGTTGTTGTTGTTGTTTGAGACAGGGTCTCACTCTGTCGCCCAGGTTGGAGCATACTGGCAGGATCACAGCTCATTGCAGCCTTGACCTTCTGGACTCAAGCGATCCTCCCACCTCAGCCTCCCGAATAGCTGGGAGTACAGTCTTGTGCCATCATGCCTGGCTAATTTTTGTGTTGTTAGTAGAGTCAGGGTCTCACCATGTTACCCAGGCTGGTCTCAAACTCCTGACCTCAAGTGATTCACCCACCTTGGCCTCCCACAGTGCTGGGATTACAGGCATGAGCCACCGCACCTGGCCTCAAATGATTTTTCTGTATCTATTGAGATCGTATGGCTTTTCTCTTGTTTTCCTTTTGTTTCCTTTTTTTTTTTTTTAAGAGAGGGTCTTGTGTTGTTGCCCAGGCTGAAGTGCAGTGGTTCAATCATAGCTCACTGCAGCCTTGACCTCCTGTGCTCAAGTGATTCTTCCACGTCAGCCTCCCAAGTAGATGGGAGGCACATGCCACCATGCCCAGCTAATTTTTTTGTAGAGATGGGGTTTCGCCATGTTGTCCAGGCTGGTCTCAAACTCCTGGACTCAAGTGATCTGCCGACCTCATCCTCCCAAAATGCTGGGATTACAGGT
Organism: Homo sapiens; assembly: GCF_000001405.40. Taxonomy (NCBI): domain Eukaryota; kingdom Metazoa; phylum Chordata; class Mammalia; order Primates; family Hominidae; genus Homo; species Homo sapiens. Next base: position 179,662,375 of record NC_000005.10, read on the forward strand.
GTGAGCCTCTGCGCCCAGCCTGCTTTTTCTCTTTTAATCTGTTTATGTATATATTATATTTATAGATTTTTTCCTAACATTGGTCACCTTTGTAGTCCTAGGATAAACTCAGCTTGCTCATGACAAATTGCCACTTCAATACATTGTTGAATTTGGTTTGCTAATAATTTGTAGAGTTTTTTGCATTTGGCTTTCTTGTTGCTGACTTCAAATTAAATTGCTTCTATCTTTCTGAGGGAACTGAGGGTGATTTTCTTTTCTTTTCTTTTTTTTTTTTTTGAGACAGAGTCTCGCTCCGTCACCCAGGCTGGACTGCAATGGCGCGATCTCAGCTCACTGCAACCTCTGCCTCCTAGGTTCAAGTGATTCTCCTGCCTCAGCCTCCTGAGCAGCTGGGACTGCAGGCACGCACCACCATGCCCAGCTAAGTTTTGTATTTTTAGTAGAGACGGGGTTTCACCATGTTGGTCAGGCTAGTCTTGAACTCCTGACCTCAGGTGATCTGCCTGCCTCAGCCTCCCAAAGTGCTTGGATTACAGAAGTGAGCCACCACGCCCAGCCAATGAAAAAAAAATTTTTTTTTCTTTTTCTTTGAGACAGAATTTCGCTCTTGTTGCCCACTGTTGTCCAGGCTGGAGTGCAATGGCACGATCTCAGCTCACCACAACCTCCGCCTCCTGGGTTCAAGTGATTCTCCTACCTCAGCCTCCTGAGTAGCTGGGATTACAGGTATGTGCCACCATGCCTGGCTAATTTTGTATTTTTAGTAGAGACGGGGTTTCTCCATGCTGGTCAGGCTGGTCTCGAACTCCCGACCTCAGGTGATCCGCCTGCCTCGGCCTCCGAAGGTTTTGGGATTACAGGTGTGAGCCACTGCCCCCAGCCTGAAAAAAATTTTATCATAGAAAATATCCAACCATAAACAAAATTAGTGAGAACAGTATTATAAACCCTCATGTACTCATCACCCAGTTCCTTTTTGTTTTTTTTTTAGATGGAGTCTCGCTCTGTCGCCACAGTGCAGTGGTGCTATCTGGGCTCACTGCAACCTCCATCTCCCGGATTCAAGCGATTCTCCTGCCTCAGCCTCCCGAGTAGCTGGGACTACAGGCACCTGCCACCACGTCCAGCTCATTTTTTTGTATTTTTAGTAGAGACGGGGCTTCACCATGTTGACTAGGATGGTCTCGATCTCCTGACCTCGTGATCCGCCTGCCTCGGCCTCCCAAAGTGCTGGGATTACAGGTGCTCATCATCCAGTTTCTATAATAATTGATGACCAAATTTTTTCCTATATAGACCCACCCATTTTCTCTACTGACTTCCCAGACTACTTGGAAACAAATGGCAGACATCATATCCCTTTATCTGTAAACACTCTAGTAATATCTTCAAAAGATAAGGATAAAAAAAACCTATAATCCTAATCTATACATGTCATGCATGCATCTAACAATACCGCAGTAGAAATCTAAGAATACTGCAATAGAAAATATTTGATCCAGTTGGGGACGGTGGCTCATGTCTGTAATCCCAGCACTTTTGGAGGCCGAGGCAAGCTGATCATGAGGTCGGGAGTTTGAGACCAGCCTGGCCAATATAGTGAAACCCCATCTCTACTAAAAAATACAAAAATTAGCTGGGCGTGGTGGCGTGCGCCTGTACTCCTGGCTACTTGGGAGGCTGAGGCAGGAGAATAGCTTGAGCCCAGGAGGCGGAGGTTGCAGTGAACCGAGACTGCGCCACTGCACTCCAGCCTGGGTGACAGAATGAGACTCTGTCTCAAAAAAAAGAAAAAAAAATATTTGGTCCATTTTCACTCTTCTCCAGTTGTCTTATGTGTTGCCTTTGTTGGTGGTATATGTTGTTCTGTTTTGTTAGGTTTGTTTGAATCAAGAGGCAAATGAAGACCTCGCATTGTGACTGGTTGATCTCTGTCTCCCCACAGGTCGGCTTGAGGTTTGCGAGTCCCAGCTCCCACTGCCCCTGCCACCTGCCTTTCCCTTCTCAGGACATACACAGGACTGGGAGAAAATAGACTAAGTATTTGATATTACAGTATTGTTAGGTTTTTATATGTGCGGTATCTTAGGAGGGAACAGAAAGCAGCAGACACACCACTGACGATGGCTTCCAGTGTGGCAGGGGCCAAAGCCCTTGCTCTGTGGCTCCAGGGGCAGCCTGTGCAGGCCCAGCCTGGGGCCACTCATGCTCCCCAGCCCCACACGAGGCCCATCCCGTCTCAGCATAGGCTTCCTTCTTTCCACTGTTCCTGGAGACCCAGCAGGCTGTCATGGGCCTTTGGTCCCTACACAGTCCACTCCAGTGGCCACCAGGCTTCTGCAGCCATCATTTCCCATGTGCACGTGGGAAAGAACTAGGCCAGGCTTCTAAGTTATCTAGACCTTCCTTTTTTTTTTTTTTTTTTTTTTTTTTTGAGACACAGTCTCACTGTGTCGCCCAGGCTGGAGTGCAAGTGGTACGATCTCAGCTCACTGCAACCTCTGCCTCCTGGGTTCAAGTGATTCTCTGCCTCAGCCTTCCAAGTAGCTGGGATTACAGGTGCACACCAACACACCCAGCTAATTTTTGTATTTTTAATAGCGATGGGGTTTCACCATGTTGGCCAGGATGGTCTCGAACTCCTGATCTCAAGTGATCCGCCCACCTCAGCCTCCCAAAATGTTTGGATTACAGGCATGAGCCACCACCCCTGGCCTGGACCCTCTTTTTGACATGTGTGAGCATAGGCAGCAAGCAAGGCCATGCAGAGAAGGGGTGCTTCCAGACTGCCCAGGCCAGGGGCATCATTAAGGGTGGGACTGTCTCGAGAGTGTCATAGGAGAGTTGAGACCAACACACAAGTGTTGGAGATGATGGTTGAGGCAGGAGCAAGGTTTTTTGGGGTTTTTAAGATGGGGTCTTGCTTGTAGCTCATAGCAATCATAGCTTACCGCAGCCTCAAACTGCTGGGATCAAGTGGTCCTCCCGACTCAGCCTTCAGAGTGACTAGGACTACAGGTGGGCACCACTGTGCCGGGCGAGTGTTAATTATTACCCTAGGTTTAAAAATATGCTTTGTACTGGGTTTGCATAGGCCATTTCCCCTCTGTCTGCAGGGTACTGATGTCCCCATCTCTCTGCATAGCTGCAAAGGGGACCAGGGAGGCATTGCTGTGGCAACCGCCATGGCAGGGTCAAGGAGCTCCTTGTGTGGCTTTCACACTTCTGACGGGCTGAGATCCAGATCCAGGCCCCAGACCTGTGGTAATGCTGCTCATCGAGCCACCACCTGGGCTGAGGAGCAGAAATGAGGCCCCCAGGTCAGAGCAGAGACCTGCCGGGGCCACCTCCATCATCAGCCCTGATTTGGGGCCACCCTCTCATGTCCCTCATCCTCCTGCCCAGTGAAGCAGTGGCTGCTCCAGCTGGAGCTCCAGGAGAGAGGGCTAGGCTATGCCTTGAACCAGAGCCTGGGTGATGAAAGGGCCCCAAAGTGGGACCAGCCTGACTGTCCCCTTCCATCAGGCAGAGAGGAAAAGCATGGCACTCCCCCGCTGGGAAATACCCTGCAGTCACAGGATGAACCGGCTAGATGTGTGGACATTGCTAGGTCTTTTTTTTTTTTTATTAGAGATGGGGTCTCGCTCGGTTGCCCAGGCTGGAGTACAGGGGCACAATCATGGCTCACTGCAGGCTCGAACTCTTGGGCTCGAGCCATCCTCCCATCTGAGGCTCCCAAGTAGCTGGGACCACAGCTATGTGCCACCATGTCTGGCAGGAGCAAGATTAAAGTGTATAGTGGGAAGCCATTCGGAGCTAAGCAAGATGCAGGCAGGAAAAGTAGAGAAGTGGGGACTGTGGTTGTGAACACTGTACTCCTGGCCAGACATGGGACAGGCAGGTAACTTTCTGGAGAACACCCTGCCAGCTGTAATCAGACACCCTGGGGCCCCTACGGAAAGGAGGGCACAGCTCCATCCTGGCCAACACAAGGCCAATGCATGGATCCTCCATGGGACCTGTGGCTGTGGCACAGTCGCATATGTTTTTCACCCTTTTTACCCTGCACACGTTCTCTCAAGCACCTTTTATTTTTATTTTTTTGAGACAGAGTCCTGCTCTTTTGCCCAGGCTGGAGTGCAGTGGTGTGATCATAGCTCACTGCAGCCTCAACCTCCCAGGTTCAAGCGATTTTCCTGCCTCAGCCTCCAGAGTAGCTGGGACCACAGGTGCATGCCACTACCTCTGGCTAATTAAAAAAATTTTTTTGTAAAGATGGAGTCTGGCCATGTTGCTCAGGCTGTTTTTTGTTGTTGTTGTTGTTTGTTTTTGTTTTTTTGAGATGGAGTCTTGCACTGTCGCCCAGGCTGGAGTGCAGTGACACAATCTCGGCTCACTGCAACCTCCACCTCCCGGGTTCAAGTGATTCTCCTGCCTCAGCCACCCAAGTAGCTGGGACTACAGGTGGATGCCATAACACCCGGCTAACTTTTGTATTTTTAGTAGAGATGGAGTTTCATCATGTTGGCCAGGCTGGTCTTGAACTCCTGACCTCAGGCGATCTGCCCGCCTCAGCCTACCAAAGTGCTGGGATTACAGACATGAGCCACTGCGCCCGGCCTCAAGGACTTCTGGGCTTTGCAGGGTCAGTTTTTCCTCTAAAGATTTGTGCTTCTTGTGCTTTTCTGGCTAATATTCTATTTTGGACAACCATCCCTGCACAATCGCCACTGACAATTTTTTTTTTTTTGAGACCGAGTCTCATTCTGTTGCCCAGACTGGGGTGCAGTGGTGTAATCTCGTCTTACTACAACCTCTGCCTCCCGGGTTCAAGCGATTCTCCTGCCTCAGCCTCCCGAGTTGCTGGGGCTACAGGTGTGCGCCACCTCGCCCAGCTAGTTTTTGTATTTTTAGTAGAGATGGGGCTTCACCAAGTTGCCCAGGCTAGTCTTGAACTCCTGACCTCAAGTGATCCACCCGCCTCCGTCTCCCAAAGTGCTGGGATTACAGGCATGAGCTGCCGCTCCTGGCCGCCACTGACAATTTTTACTGGTACTTGTTACAGTCCCAGACGCCACCTGTCACCTGTGTTAGGGGCTTCAGAGTGCCTAGCTGCAGGTTGAGGTCCTGGTCTCGTCACTGCTGCTTGCTGAGTCTGCTTCCGATGCATACGTCACATTTACTTCCCCACAGGCCATTCCTTAGCATCTCTTACTGCTTGGCCTCCTCCTTCGTCCCTGTGGCTGGTATAGCTCACTCCACATTCTCAAACGGTTTTAAAATGTTTTTCTTTTGGCTGGGCGCAGTGGCTCACATCTGTGATCCCAGCACTTTGGGAGGCCGAGGCAGGTGGATCATGAGATCAGGAGATCGAGACCATCCTGGCCAACACAGTGAAATGCCGTCTCTACTAAAAATACAAAAAATTAGCCAGGCGTGGTGGCGGGTGCCTGTAATCTCAGCTACTTGGGAGGCTGAGGCAGGAGAATCACTTGAATCTGGGAGGCGGAGGTTGCAGTGAGCTGAGATCACAGCACTGCACTTCAGCCTGGGTGACAGAGCGAGACTCTCTCAAAAACAAAACAAAATTTCTTTTTCTTTGATTTTCTTTTTGTAGAGATGGGAGTCTCATTATATTGCCCAGGCTGGTCTTGAACTTCTTGCTTCAAGCGATCTTCCTGCCTTAACCTCCCAAAGGGCTGGGATTACAGGCGTGAGCCACTGCACCTGGCCTAAAATATCTTTCTGTAATTCAATCTGTAGGTCAAACCTGCCACTCTAATGTAGTGGTAGAAACTGAATTTCAGTTAATTTGGAGGTTTTCCTGTCTTTCCCACAGGGGTATGGCACTGTCAGCGGAAGACTGTCAGATCTCTGCAGCATGACCCTCATCCTTGTTCCCAACCTTTTCTGTCAGTCACTGTCTGCCTCCCTTTCTTTGGTTGGCTGCCCATCAATGACCTATTATCATCATTGCCATAGATCCCTGAGAAGCACTCCCCCTCCCACAGTTGCCATTCCAATCTTGCTACACAGTATAAGAGCCCTCTTGGCTTCTGAGGGTTAAATGTTGCCATCCAGAATGGTTAAATGCCATTCCAGAATCGTGTCATCCCCAAGACACTAAGGAGCCAAGTTCCATGGCAGCATCTCCTAGCCACAGAGCACAGCCACCACCAGCTTTCTATGACACCAGTGCCCCCTCACGTCCACATTCTGCATTGCCTTAGTGAAGAGCGCCTCCTCTGGGCAGCTCCATGAAACACCTTCTGGTCTCATGTAATAAATCCGTTCTAACATTCCCACTTCCCTGAGCCTTCATCTCTACCTCATTAATGGTAGGCCACTATGGTGTCCAAGCTTCCGGGAGCCGTCTGGCGTGAAGACAAGCTCCAGCTGTCCTTTGACAGGACTTTAAATCCTGAGTCTTGGGGCATGCACCCTTGTCAATCAATGCCCCACCGGTCTTCTATTGCCCCCTCCCCGCCTGGATCTGGTACCCCACCTGGATCTGGTACCCTCATGATCGCTCCCGCAAGTGTTCTCCCAGGTCCTGCAACTTTTTGGGTGACTGAGTGATTTCCTCCTAGGGTAGGAAATATTTCACTGCTTGGGCTATGCTGAGATGTGATCCTGCTTGTTGGTCTGGAGGCAATGAGAGGAGGTGGATCTTGAGGAGGATTAGTGTTATCTTACAGGGTACTCACCTGTAACGGGGAGATCTCTGCACTGTCTCCAGGCTAGATGAAGCTGTCCTCCTCTGTCAATGGGAAGAAGGCAGTTTCTGCTGGCCAGGATGCTTCAGGGGACTCTGGGGGCTCAAGGTTCTTTGGTACATCCACCCAAACATCCCACGTCAGGCCTAGAGTCCCATTTATTCCTTTAAAAGCACCCAATGGGCCGGTTACTGTGGCTCATGTCTGTAATCCCAGAAGTTTGTGAGGCCATGGCAGGTGGATCAGTTGAGGCCAGGAGTTCGAAACCAGCCTGAGGAACATAGCAAGATCCCCGTCTCTACAAAAATAAAAATAATAGAAGCCCCCACTTTAGTACAGGAGACCTGCTGAGGATGCACAAGTGTCTTTTGCAGCTCTGCTGCTCTTGTGATGAAATATTGGTTCTCATTTTCAGCATGCTCTGCCTCCTGGCCACGGAAGCAAGGTTTTCTTTACATGTTGTCTTGGGAGAGTTCCTGCCTTTCACAGCATACTCTGAGTAGATAGCAGGCTGAACTGCATCTTTCATTCTCTTGCTTCAAAGCTGCTAAGGTGATTTAGAAAAGCTAGCCACCTCCATAATCCTTGCAACAGCAGCTGCTTCCACATCTTTCAAGTGACAAAGCTACTGCATAAGCCAAGCTTTCTCTTCAACTTCTATCTCCTTATCTACCACAGGTAAGAGTCTCATGCTTCAGGACACAAGGTTATCACCAACTGTGTGTGTGTGTGTGTGTGTGTCTTTGTTGCCTTCCGAATGGTAAGTGATCTACTTTTAGATTCCTATCGCTAGGTCTGTCTTCTAGTGCTACCTCTATTACTCATTGCCTTAGCTTGAATCCTCACAAAAACAGAGCTTGATCCTGGAACTTCGGCATAGTTAACTTGGGACATTCCAGGAAACTGTAATCCATGTAATTCCATGCCTATAATCCCAGCACTCTGGGGGCCAAGGTGGGTGAATCAGTTGAGGCCAGGAGTTTGAGACCAGCCTGGTCAACATGGGGAGAGAGATTGGGAAGAGTGACCCAGGGTACAGAACCATGAGCCACAGCTGCAGCTTCAGTCAGAGCAGGGCTGACCAGATATAACCAGAAGTCCCAACAGCATCCTGGACACCTCTCCTGCCTCCTAAGGGTGCAGAAATCTGTGACAATGGCTAAGCAGTATCTGCTCCTCTGGATTCAGGTGCCTATCTCTTGTGGAGCTTTGTTCATTCTAGAAGTACTTGGAGAGGTCCAAGCATCGTGCCTCACGCCTGTAATCCCAGCACTTTGGTGGCCAAGGTGGGCGGATCAGTTGAGGTCAGGAGTTTGAGACCAGCCCGGTCAACATGGCAAAACCCCACCTCTGCTAAAAACACAAAAATTAGCCAATCGTGGTCGTGCAGACCTGTAATCCTAGCTACTTGGGAGGCTGAGGTAGGAGAATCACTTGAACTCGGGAGGCAGAGGTTGCAGTAAGCCGAGATTGCGCCACTGCACTCCAGCTTGGGCAACAGAGTGAGACTACGTCTCAAAGAAAAAATAGGCTGGGCGCGGTGGCTCACGCCGGTAATCCCAGCACTTTGGGAGGCTGAGACGGGTGGATTATGAGGTCAGGAGTTCGAGACCAGCCTGACCAATATGGTGAAACCCCGTCTCTACTAAAAATACAAAAATTAGTCCAGCATGGTAGTGTGTGCCTGCAGTCCCAGATACTTGGGAGGCTGAGGCAGGAGAATAGCTTGAACCTGGGAGGCGAAGGTTGGAGTGAGCTGAAATTGTGCCACTGCACTCCAGCCTGGGCGACAAAGTGAGACTCCATCTCAAAATAAATAAAAAAATAAAAATAAAAATAGCAATACAACTATTTGGAGAGGGCCAAATAAGTGGGGAGCACTTCTCCACACTGAGATACAGGCGGGAACAGAACAACAAACCCCATAGAGCTTATGTTTTAGTTGGAGGAGACTAAGAATAAATACAATATGTAGTAGGTCAAGTGTTAATGGGTGCTAGAAACAAGAAGTGGGGGCCAGGCACGGTGGCTCACACCTGTAATCCCAGTACTCTGGGAGGTCGAGGTGGGTGGATCACCTGAGATAAGGGGTTCAAAACCAGCCTGGCCAACATGGTGAAACCCCATCTCTACCAAAAATACAAAAATCAGCTGGGCATGGTGGCGGACACCTGTAATCCCAGCTAGTCAGGAGGCTGAGGCAGGAGAATTGCTGCAATCCAGGAGGCAGAAGTTGCAGTGAGCTGAGATCATGCCACTGCATTCCAGCCTGGGTGACAGAGTGAGACTGCATCTCAAAAAAAAAAAAAAAAAAAGGGCCAGGCGTGGTGGCTCACGCCTGTAATCCCAACACTTCGGGAGGCTGAGGCAGGCGGGTCACGAGATCAGGAGATGGAGACCATCCTGGCTAACACAGTGAAACCCGTCTCTACTAAAAATACAAAAAAAAAATTAGCTGGACGTGGTGGCGGGCGCCTGTAGTCCTAGCTACTCAGGAGGCTGAAGCAGGAGAATGGCGTGAACCCGGAGGTGGAGCTTGCAGTGAGCCGAGATCACACCACTGCACTCCAGCCTGGGCGACAGAGCGAGACTCCGTCTCAAAAAAAAAAAAAAAAAAACAAAAGAAAACATGAAGTGGGAAGGGAGGATACATTGTGCACATACCTCAAAGAAATGAGAGTGAATGAAACTGGCAAGACACTGGGAGGGCACACCTGTGAGGTAAATCAGAGGGAAATGAGAAGAGCATGGTGCCCTAGAAACCAAGTGAAGCCAGGGTTTCAAGGAGGAGGGGTCAACTCACGAGACGCTGCTGATGCACTGCGATGAGGATAGAAAACTAGGCAGAAGCCTTAACCACAGGGAGGGCACAGCATCCTTGACAAGGGCAGGCGGGGGACAGTGGGACGTGAGAAATCTGAAGTTCAAGGTAGACCAGGTGCAGTGGCTCATGCCTGTAATCCCACTACTTTAGAAGGCCAAGGTGAGAGGATCACTTGAGCCCAGGAGTTCGAGACCAGCCTGGGCAACATAACGTAGTGAGACCCCCTCATCTCTTCTTCCTTTTTTTTTTTTTTTTTCTTTAGACGGAGTCTCGCTCTGTCGCCTAGGCTGGAGTGCAGTGGTGCGATCTCGGCTCACTGCAACCTCCGCCTCCCAGGTTCAAGCGATTCTCCTGCCTTAAACTCCCAAGTAGCTTCTACAGGCGCGTGCTACCACACCCGGCTAATTTTTGTATTTTTAGTAGACGGGGTTTCACAGTGTTAGCCAGGATGGTCTCCATCTCCTGATCTCGTGATCCGCCCACCTCAGCCTCCCAAAGTGTTGGGATTACAGGCGTGAGCCACCATGCCTGGCCTTTTTTTTTTTTTTTTTTTTGAGATGCAGTCTCACTCTGTCACCCAGGCTGGAATGCAGTGGCATGATCTCAGCTCACTGCAACCTCTGCCTCCCAGGTTCAAGCGATTCTCTCGCCTCAGCCTCCCGAGTAGCTTGGACTACAGGCACACACCACCATGCCTGGCTAATTTTTTTTTTTTTTTTTTTTTTTTTTGAGACAGAGTCTGGCTCTGTCACCCAGACTGGAGTGCAGTGGCGCAATCTCGTGCAATCTCGGCTCACTGCAACCTCTGCCTCCCAGGTTCAGGCGATTCTCCTGCCTCAGCCTCCTGAGTAGCTGGGACTAGAGGCGGGTGCCACCACACCCAGCTAATTTTTGTATTTTTAGTAGAGATGGGGTTTCACCATATTGCTCAGGCTGGTCTTGAACTCCTGACCTCATGATCTGTCTGCCTCAGCCTCCCAAAGTGCTGGGATTA